>NC_000020.11:4308759-4460274 GCF_000001405.40 Homo sapiens
GTGAACAAAAATGTTCTTTTCTTAAAAACTGAAATCTAGCTTGACCTTGACTTTATCCTTGACTCCTCTCTCTCCAATATGGCAGCAAAACTTACTGGCTCAACTTTCACAATACATCCCAAATCTGAGCACCTCTCACCTTCTCCACTGCCACACTCTGGTTTGAGCCACAGTCACCTCTTGTCTTGTTTAGTGCAATAGTCTCCTGGCGGGTGTCTGTCGCCAACATCATTTTCCACACAGGAGGCACATTTATCTTTCTAAAATTGTATGTCACTCCAGTATGTGAACTCTTCTTTGCTTCAAAGCCCTCCAGAAATTCCCATCTTATTCGGAGTGAAATACGGAGCCTTTTCATGGTAGGCAAGACCATGGTTGGCCTCCACCACCACTTTGACTTTAGCTTCTACTGTTTTTCCTTTTGCTCACTCTGATCCAGCCACAATCCCCTATTATTGTTTGTTTGTATTTGTTCTGAGTTAGAGTCCTGCTCTGTCGCCCAGGCTGGGGCACAGTGACGTGATCTTGGCTTACTGCAACCTCTGCTTCCTGGGTTCAAGTGATTCTCATGCCTCAGCCTCCCAAGTACCTGGGACTACAGATGTGCGCCACTATGCCTGGCTAATTTTTTTGTATTTTTAGTAGAAACAGGGTTTCACCATGTTGGCCAGGCTGGTCTTGAACTCCTGGCCTCAAACAATCCACCTGCCTTGGCCTCCCAGAGTGCTGGGATTGCAGGTGTGAGCCATAGTGCTTGGCCCTCTTATTATTTTTGAAACTGCCAAGCAAGCTTACACTTGGGGGATGTTGCACCTGGTGTTCCCTCTGCCTAAAATGCTTTTCCTTAGATGTCAATATGACTTCCCACTTACTTGGGATCCCTGCTCAGAAACACATTCCTTGGCCATTCATGTAAGATGCACTTTCCACTCTCACTCTCTGATATTTTACTCTGCTTTATTCCTCCACCTAGTATCTCACACACACGCGCGCGCGCGCACACACACACACACACACACACACGACTCCCTCCTGGCATCTACCATTATTGTCTCCCCCTACCAGCATATAAACTTCTTGAGATCAAGGACTTTTTGTTTTTTTCTCTTCTAATATTGTAACTCTGGTGCCAAACACATAGCAGACGTTATAGAAATATTTGCTGAATGAGTAAGTAAGTGAATTTCAACTTTGAGAAAGTGTGGGCCTCCCAGGGCTGCTCCTGAGCCTTGATCTGCAGAGATTAAAAAAAAAATTATAATAGTGATGATGATGGTAAGGCCCATTACTTGACCTGGAGACACAAGTGAGGCTATGTCTCTTTAGCATTTAATCTTTAGCCCTAACCTAC
Organism: Homo sapiens; assembly: GCF_000001405.40. Classification (NCBI taxonomy): domain Eukaryota; kingdom Metazoa; phylum Chordata; class Mammalia; order Primates; family Hominidae; genus Homo; species Homo sapiens. The sequence continues at coordinate 4,310,111 of NC_000020.11, forward strand.
CCAGACTAATGATGATCTAGTATTTCTCTTTGTGCTGAATTATGACTGAGCACCAGGGATTTACTCAGTCCAGTGGAGTCTGTCCTGCTTCCAGAACCCCTACAGAGAGAACAGAGGATCTGATTAGTCACTAGCAGACTTCTGTATCCCAATGCCCTTGATCCTACAGCTGCCACACAGATGGTGCCATTGAAAAGAGGTAGCCTGACATGGTCCTGTTATGGGAAAGGGGTCCCAATTTAGACCCCAAGAGAGGGTTCTTGGATCTTGAGTGAGAAAGAATTCAAGGTGAGCCCACAGTGCAAAGCGAAAGCAAATTTTTTAAGAAAGTAAAGTAATAAAAGCAGGGCTACTCCATAGACAGAGCAGCCCTAAGGGCTGCTGGTTGCCCATATTTATGGTTATTTCTAGATTATATGCTAGACAAGGAGTGGATTATTCATGCCTCCCCTTTTTAGACTATATAGGGTAACTTTCTGACATTGCCATGGCATTTGTAAACTGTCATGATGCTTGTGGAAGTGTAGCAGTGAGGACGACCAGAGGTCACTTTTGTTGCCATCTTGGTTTTGGTGTTTTTTGGCCGGCTTCTTTACTGCAACCTGTTTTATCAGCAAGGTCTTTATGACCTGTATCTTGTGCTGACCTCCTATCTCATCCTGTGACTAAGAATGCCTTAACCTCCTGAGAATGCAACCCAGCAGGTCTCAGCGTCATTTTACCTAGTCCCTACTCAAGATGGAGTTGCTGTTGTTGAAACGCCTCTGACAGTCCAAGGTCCCTTTGACCATCACTGCAAGGCTACAGGCTGTGGAATCAGAAGAACTGGGGCCTCTCTTGTTGGTGTTACACTCAGCTCTGGTGTCCCCATGTCATCATGGGTCTGGAGTCCCAATGAGGAAAAGTTGTGTTGCTTCCTCAGTCTTGGGCATGGATGAGTTTCCTCCATTTCGGGTCCTGATATTATAGGTTACAGTTGAGACTTGCATGTTTCCAAATTATGCCTGCTGTTTCTAGGGGTCTAGGCTTGGGTTGGTCCCTAGATCCCCTTGGTCCTACCACCAAGCAATAGCTCTACATCCTCGAGGGTTTTGTAAGGAAGAGCCTTTGTCAGGCCACCAAACTCTCTTGCGGTTCCCTTTTTCTTGAGGAAATGGTGGTGATTTTTCTGATATTTACATAACCAAGAGAGGCCATGTGAGGAATTCTTCCCAAATATCTGCTCCATTTAGGAAAGAAGAAAGTGGCTGCTTTTAAATGGCTGCTTTCCTTACAGATAAACACACAGTTCTGCCTGCTATGCTCCTCCGTACTCCCTCCTACCATTTATTGAGCACTTGCTAGATGGCAGACACTGTGCTAACCACACATTCACCCATTACCTCATTAAATCCCAGAAGGATCCTGAGAAGGAGGTAATTTGAGGGGTATTTTTATTTTGAAATACTTTATTATATTTGAAGTGAATTTCATATAGATGTCATAGAGTTAGGTCATTTAAAAATGCATTCTGTTATTGTCTGTGTTTTAACTGGTATATTTAGACCATTTACATTTAATGTAATTTTTGATATGTTATGGCTTATGTCTGCCATTTTATTTTTTTGTTTTCTGTTTGTTCTCTTGGCTTTTTGCTTGTGTTTTTTTTTCTTGCCTTCCTTTAAGGTATTCGAACATTTTTAAAGAATCCAATTTGTTTTATCTATACTGTTGAGTGTATCTTTTTGTGTAGATCTTAGTTCTTGCTCTAGGTATTGACAGAGAAGGAGCACCATCATCTCAGACAAACACTGCCACTTTAAGTTCCAGCTCCCTTACTAGCCTCATGCATTTCAAGGAAATCACTTCTCTTCTAACAACAAGCAGCCAGAAAGAGCAGACAGTAAAACACAGATAAGACAGCTTGGACACAGAAAGAGGTGGGGGAAAAGTCTCTTGGGTAACTGCCAAACTTCACCCTCATACAATGGGCCCCAGTAAAACAGTGGGCCTTAATAAGTACATTCCTTTCCCTTCAGGTGCACTAAGCTAGGGAAGCTAAGAGACTCAGGGGATATGCCTGCAGCTGCAGAAAGATGTATGGGAACAGACACACAACTCTCCCTCCCAAATAAGCACAACAAAGAAACACAGAAGCAGGCCAAGCATCTAATAAACTCTCCCACCCCAAATCCTTAAAAACTCTTAGTCTGTAAAAAAGTGTGCCTCTGACCTAACTCAGCCAAATGCCTCTCTCAGGTTTGTTTTCTCTAAAATAAACCTGTCTTAACTGGCAATCCACCTTTCGTGTTTCTTTCCTTCTTCTTTAATTCTTACAGGTATTACATTATATATACCTGATTATAACAGTTTCCCACTGTCAACATTTTACCAGCTTGAATGAGTACAGCAGTCTTACCTCCTATATTTCCCATTACCCTCTCCCACTTATAATCGTCTTAAATATTTCCTCTACATTCTTTGAGAATCATATTGAACAGTTATAATTTTCACTTCAACTATCAAAGATACTTTAGAAAACCTGAGAAGAAAAGTCTATTGTATTTACCCAAATTTTTGCTCTTATGTCCTTTATTCATTCCTGATATTCCAAAATTTCTTGATTTATCAGTTCCTTTCTGTTTAGAGAACTTCCTTTAGCTATTCTTTTAGGGTAGATCCACTGGCAAAAAATTCTCTTAGTTTTCTTTCATCTGAAAATGTCCTGATTTCTCCTTCATTCTTGAAGGAACTATCACTGATTATAGAATTCTGGGTTGACAATTCTTTTCTTCAGCACTTGGAAAATGTTGTGTACCTTCCTTCTGGCCTTCATGGTTTCTGATAGGAAATCTACTGTCATGTGAATTGTTTTTCCCCTGTAAGCAATGAATGACTTCTGTCTGGCTGCTTTCAAGATTTTTTTCTTTGTCTTTAGTTTTCAGAAGTTTGAATATTATGCATCATGCTGTGGATTTCTTTGGATTTGTCCTGTTTGGTGTTCTCTTATCTTCTTGAATCTGTATGTTTATGTTGTTTGCCAAATTCAGGATATTTTCAGCCATTATTTCTTTGAACACTTTGTAAATCCTACCCACTTTCTGCTTGCCTAGTGGGACACTGATGACATCAATCCTAAATCTTTTGTTTTAGTTCCACACATCCCTGAGAGTCTGTTCTTTATTTGTGTGTGTCTTATCTCAGGAAGTAATTTTGTCTTTCTAGGCTTCATTTCTTCATCTGCAAAATGGGAAAATTAATATCTGCTGTTCAATATCATGATGCTTAAATGACACTGAGTGCTCAATGTTTGTTGAATGAATGAATGAACAAACAAATGAGCAAGCTGATGGATAGAAATTTGCCAGTTTACTTGTCAGCTTTGTAATATTAAGGTAAACACTTTCTCTGGCCAGACTTCCTGATCTCTCCTCTTACCACCTCTAGGTAAAAGTCCCTTGTAGCCTATATCTGCTTTTCTCATACTGTGGGTTTGTTATCTTCTTAGCATGTGGCGGGATTTCCAAGGAGACTAGATCTCCTCCTATCTCATCCTCAGCTTGTCAGATGCTGAATAAATGGTCACCAACTACTGTGTGTCCTATTTGGCCAAAATGACTTCTGAATGCTGGTGCGGAGAGAGCAGAGGGCAGGCCTGAGATGAGCTATTGGGAGTTGGACTGTGGGGACAGCTTCCACCCCAGCCACCTCAAAATCTTGTGCTTGTGTCTTTGATATGGAAGCAGCTTGCAGTGGTGATATGCTAACATACAAGTGGGGTGAAGGCAGGAGAGTCCAGGGACCAGCTTAAGAATCAAACACACAGGGCCAGAAGAGAAAATAGGCAAAAGTTTAGCTTCGTTGTTTTTTTTTTTTTTGAGATGCAGTCTCGCTCTGTCATCTAGGCTGGAGTGCAGTGGCTCAATCTCGGCTCACTGCAACCTCTGCCTCCTGGGTTCAAGAGATTCTCCTGCCTCAGCCTCTGGAGTAGCTGGGACTACAGGGGTGTCCCACCACGCCCGGCTAATTTTTTGTATTTTTAGTAGAGATCATAATGATAGCCAGGATGGTCTCGATCTCCTGACCTCGTGATCCACCTGCTTTGGCCTTCCAGAGTGCTGGGATTACAGGCGTGGGCCACTGCACCCAGCCTAGCTTGTTGGTTTTATTGGGCAACTGATGAACTATTGTGGACTAGACTGGGTTTGATTTATGAGTGGGGTAGTACATTTATTGTGCTTCCTGAGTACTCAGTGACCTCTTATTTCTAAGTACAGTCAAGTCTTTACCAATCACACACAAAAGTACATTTGATAGAGGTTGTAAGTGGTTCAGCAAATTCAGTTCCATTTCTGGGGACAGAGCTTGGATCTCATGCTGTGATGAATTATTATGATATCTTCTTTAAGTATGAGAAGAGTATGCATAAAACGATCAGGTCTTCCATGCCCGTGGGCCCTTTTAAGGGAGATTGTATCACCGTCGGTGATAAGAGATACAGGCATCAGCTGTGGACCCCCAACAGACCCAAGGGTAGACAATGTACAGGCTGGTCATGAGAAAATGTGTGCATGAGGCTCTGCTTAATGAAATGAGGTGAATAATTAGGACAATCTGACAATCTCTCCATAGAATGTCACCAGGAAGTCAGAGAAAAAAACAGCCAATAAATAGTAAGGGAAAAAATAAGAAGATAAAAGGAATGAGAGAAGCAGAGACCAAATGAGAGACTGAGTTATATCAATGGTGGAGAACTCTTTGTGTTGAGGGGATCACCATACAACTCAGTTCCTGAAGCTGCCTCTCAGTCCTTTTGAATGGATCTCTGTCCCTTTGCTATGATTAAAAGAACTTGCTTTGCATAGGAAATTTACCAATATGGGATCGCTAGCCAAATCAATCAGTAAGGCCATTCTTAAGCCAGTGCTTCTGGGATTTGAATGTGCATACAGTTCACTTGGGGATCTTGTTAAAATGCACCTTCCAATTCAGTAAATTGGGGTGGGGCTTGAGATTCCAGTTTCTAAAAGCTCCCACCTGAGGCTGATGCTGCTGGGTTGGTGGACCACACTTTGAGAAGCAAGGGCCTGAACAAACACCACACACACATGCATGTGCACACACACACCATTCATCACCAATTAAAAGATTTGGCACAGAAGGTATCTGAAGTCCCACGGAAAACCACTAGATGATTAACTAAACTTGTTACTTTTCACTTAGCTCCACTATAGAGCTAGAAAAAGAAAACGATGACATTAAAAAAGAGCAAATGCAACTGGGCGCAGTGGCTCATGCCTGTGATCCCAGCATTTTGGGAGGCCAAGGCGGGCAGATCACGAGGTCAGGAGATCGAGACCATCCTGGCTAACACGGTGACATCCCGTCTCTACTAAAAATACAAAAAATTAGCCAGGTGTGGTGGCAGGCGCCTGTAGTCCCAGCTACTCGGGAAGCTGAGGCAGGAGAATGGCATGAACCTGGGAGGCAGAGCTTGCAGTGAGCTGAGATTGTGCCACTGCACTCCAGCCTGGGCAACAGAGCAAGACTCCATCTCAAAAAAAAAAAAAAAAAAAAAAAGAAAGAAAAGCAAATGCTTCTAATTTATTTTTGGCACAAGGTTTCAGGTTATGTTAAAAATTAATAATAAAGACTCTAACTTGTTAATTTTTTTATACTTTAGAACAAGAAAATTTAGTGTTTAAAAAACTATGAGAGTTTATTTAGCCTTCTGAAATTGTACCTTTAAATGTCTCCCAGGGGAAGAATCATAGAACAGTGGGGAAGAAATGCATTATTCAATAAATGGTGCTGGAAAGATAGTTTAGCAATTTGGAAAAAAAATCAATTTCAAGTCTCATCTTACTGCACACTAAAATAAATTTTAATGGACTAAAGAACCAAAATGATATAAAAAAGACTATAAAAGCACAAAAAAACTCTACTGGGGAATACTTGGTAAGGTTAAAAGAGTTGAACAAAATCGTAAAAGAAAAGTTACAAATTTTATTAAATAACATTTAAAATTTCTGTCTGTAGCTCTTCCTGTGTCTACTCAACAAAAATCAAAATAGTTATGAAAGAGTATAAACACTACCACAATTGGAAGACAGAATAGTTCTATTAACTCTATGCATTTGTCAAAACTCATAGAACTGTAAAAGTAAAAACTTTACATAAGCTAAAAAATAAATCACAAAAAGGATATAAAAGAAACATAGCCGCTGAAAACACATGAACGTTAAAATACCAATCAATCAACTGGGAGAAAAGTATTCGAAATATGCACAACAAACTAAAGGTTGATGCTCTTGATACATAAAACTGATGCTTGATTTGGCAAGCATGATATTAATATCCCAACAGGCATATAGATGAGTAGACAAGTCACAAAAGAGAACATTTAGTTGTCTAAAATAATAAAATGCAAATTCTCTTGTCATTGGTGTTTTATGTCCCTCCCATCAAATGAGTCCAAAATAAAAGAATAATGATATTTCCTGATGTAGATGAGGGTGTACTGCAGTAGGCTAATGGCCTCCAAAGATATTCATGTCCTAATGTCTGGAAGCTATGAAAATTTCTGTCTTAGTTCGTTTTATATTGCTATAAATGAATACCACAGACTGGGTAACTTATAAAGAAAATAAATTTATGCTTTGAAAGTTCTGGAGGCTGGTATATGAAGGTACCAGCATCTGGTCTTCTTGCTGCATTATCTTGTAGCTTTCTTGCTGTGTCATCCCATGGTGGAAGGAAGAAAGGGAAGAGAGTGTGAAAGAGGGAGGGGAAAGGGGCCGAACTCATCCTTTTATCAGAAACCCACTCCTGCAATAACTAATTTATTCTAATATGAAAGCATTAATCCAGTCATGAAGTCAGAGCCCTCATGACCTAATTACCTCTTAAAGGTCTACCTCTCAGCGCTGTTTTATTAGGAATAAAGTTTCCAACACATGAGTTTTGGGGGGACACATTCAAACCACAGCAGGTATTTTATAAGACAAAAGGGATGCTGCAGACGTGATTAAGTTAAGGATTCAGGGATGGGGAGATATCCTGGATTATCTAGGCAGGTCCTCAATGTAATTACAGTGTCCTTATAAGAGGGAGGCAGAGAGAGATTTGTCTACAGAAGAATGGCAGGAGATGTGATGATGGAAGCAAGATGTTGGAGTAATGCAAGCAAGGGGTCACCAGCCAAGGAATGCAAATGGCCTCCAGAATTTACAAAAGGCAAGGAAATAGATTCTTCCTCAGAACTTTCAGAAGGAACCACCCCTGTGACACCTTGACTTTATCCCAGTGAAACTGATTTTGAATTTCTTGCTTCTAGAAGCCATAAAAGAATAAATCTGTGTAATTTTTAAGCCCCTGAATTTGTGGTAATTTGTTACAGCAGCAATTGGAAACTAATACATGCAGTAAAACAACCTTTCTCATACATTGCAAATGGGAGTGTCAACAATGCAACATCTTCTGCAACATTTTTATAATATGTACGAAAAGCTATGGAAATTTCATATCTAATGATTTAGTGATTCCATATCTGGGAATCTATTTTAAGGAGACAATTTAATGTAATGAAAGCAGCCCTCGTGTAAAAATGTTTGTCATTATCATAATAGCAAGAAACTGGAAATAAATTAAATGTTCAACAGAAAAAGAAAGATTGAATAAAATTATAAACTATCTGAGAATAGATGAGAGTTAATCTATAAAATATTTATATATATTTGTAATATGGGGAAACACTATATTCTATAAATACTGTATGAATAGCAAAAGTCAAGCTAAAGATTATATATGCATCACGATCTTGACTTTGTAAAAATACATAGAAATGAGATTGGAAGAATATAGGCTAAAGATTTATTGGGTGAGAATAATTATTTTTAGTAATTTAACTGCTCTGTCTTTTCAGATTTTCTATAATGAGTGGGTATTAGCTTTACAGTTAAATAATTATTAAAATCAGTAATTGGAAGTGGAGGGCAGAGGGCCTTCCATGCTTGAGCCTGGTGTTATGGCCAAACCTTGAAAGAGGTAGGTCCGAAGAGGTTGTTTTGGGTCAAGGCAGAGAGTTAGGAAGAAGGAGTACACAGGTCTCAAGGGCTTGGCTGGTGCAGGTGGGAGTGGCAGAACAGTGAAAGGTGACAGTCTATTAAGGAGAGGAGCTGGTTTGATCGAGGAGAGAGCTATGGCAACTTGTTAGCAGATTTGAGAAAAATTAGATTTCACTGTTTTGAAAGATGTCTTGTTAGAAAGAGGAATAGAGTAGGCAGTGTTGATTGTCCACCCAATATCCACCACCCTTTCCATTTCCTGGCAGAACCCCAACACTGTGCTGGTATCCTCCCTTCCTCCTCCACTCAGTCCATGTAAGTAAGTAAAGGACGCACATCCCAGACTTAGCTGGGGACAGGAAGGGAGTGGGGTGGTTCTGACTAGTCTAAGCCACTCACAGAAAACCTATCCTTTCTTTCTCAATATATGTCTGCAGAACACATATTTAAGTTCCTGCCATCACAGAGCTTAGAATAACATCTCCTACTCAATAAATGCTCACTAAATGTTGATGAATGGAGCAATCAGCCCTTGGCATTCCCCTAGCAACTGTTATTTGTCTGAGAGTAGAGATATGACCTAGTTTGGTCCAATAAGGCTGAAGGGAAGGACTTTAATTGTCAGATGAAAGGTTCTCTGTGTCCTCCAGACTTTGAACAAAGGACACTACCCCACTTGCTGCTGGGCGCCATCTTGCCACCCTCAGGAGCATAAGAAAAAAGTCTTCACAGAGGAGGCAGAGCCTAAGGAATCTCCAAGAAATGAAGTCACAGCTTACCCTACCTCTGTCTTTCCAGTTATGAGTTAACACATTTCCTTTTTATTTAGGACTATTTGTGTTGGGATTTCTCATGTAGGGTGTAATAAAAGTCCATGGATTTTTTAATGGCAAACTTCAAAATACTTAGAATGTCTAGAATTCCAATTTTTCTGGGTCAGACACTCTGTGGAACACCAAAGTTATACAAGTGGTTCATAATCAAGTCCAGATTTTTATGCAGAGATGGAACTAGTTGCTCATCAGATTGACAGGAAGGGATAGACCTTGTCTTTTTGGTCTTGGAAAGTGTGTGTGAGTGGTTGTTTTGTTGGGTAAACATGTGGCAAAGAGGAGCTTCTTGTCCTGGGTTAGGGCATGCATCAATCAGGATGGGTAACTTTATGCTGCAATAACAAACAACTCCAACAACAAAGGTTTATTTCGTGCTACACTACATGTCCATCATGGGTGGGCGAGTAGGTGGGCTCTGCTCATTGCATCTCTCACGGACTTTGGTTGACGGAGAAGCCACAATCTCAAATGTTGCTGGTTTCCTTGCCAAAGGAAAGGGAAAATCTCAGAACTGTGTTATGCAGGTAATGAAATGCACCACCCCAGAAGTGATATGCAGAGCCAGCTTCATGGGCATGCAACTCTTGGGTAGTCACACAGGGCTCCATTCTCAGAAGCTTGTTTTTTTTTTTTTTTTTTTTTGAGATGGAGTCTCGCTCTGTCGCCCAGGCTGGAGTGCAGTGGTGCAATCTCGGCTCACTGCAAGCTCCGCCTCCTGGGTTCACGCCATTCTCCTGCCTCAGCCTCCCGAGTAGCTGGGACTATAGGTGCCCGCCACCACGCCCGGCTAATTTTTTGTATGTTTAGCAGAGATGGGTTTTCACCATGTTAGCCAGGATAGTCTCGATCTCCTGACCTCGTGACCTGCCCGCCTCAGCCTCCCAAAGTGCTGGGATTACAGGCGTGAGCCACCGCGCCTGGCCCAGAAGCTTGTTTTAATGCTCTGCTGTTGCCATCTCAAAATTATTAATACATTTTTGAACAAGAAGATTCTTACTTTCATTTTGCACTTGACTCTGTAAATTTATTTTTTAAGTTTTTTTTTCTGTGCACCTGTGGGTTATATTGAAAAAGTAATTTGTTGTTGTTTTTCACTTGTGTCCTACTTTCTTGATCAGAAATATCTATTTTTTTTTTTTTTTTTTTTTTTTTTTTTTTTTTTTTTGAGACAAGGTCTTGCTCTGTTGCCCAGACTGGAGTACAGTGATGTGATCACGAATCATTGCAACCTCTGCCTCCTGAGTTCCAGCGATCCTCCCACCTCAGCCTTTTGAGTAGCTGGGACTATACGCACCACCATGCCTGGCTAATCTTTAAACAATTTTTTGGAGAGATGGGGTTTTGCCATGTTTCCCAGGCTGGTCTTGAACTCTCGGGCTCAAGTGATCCATCCGCCTCAGCTTCCTAAAATGCTGGGATTACAAGTGTGAGCCATTGCGCCAGCTGGCTCTGTAAATTATATAGCCAGCCTAGTCATATGTGTCACTTGTACTTCCACCTCATTGACCAGACCTCGTCACATTGCCACATCCCAACCACAAATGGGCAGAGAAGTGCAATTCTATTTGTACCAGAAAGAAGGAAGAACCAGAAATATTTCATGAACAGCATAGAAGACAACCATAAAGTGTCTGTCATAAGTCTTTTGTTTTTCGAGACTGAGGGGAAGCTTCCTCTTGGTATACAGATCTTTGGGTGGGTGGAAGAATTTATTTGCATATGGGCCTCAGGATCCTCTGAGAGAGAAGGCATAAAGATTCCAACTGCTGTTCCTGGATATTCAGAGTTAGGGAAATCTGTTGGTGTGAACCAAGCCCAGGGGTTGGGAAGGACAATGAGGTTCCAGGGTTGGAATGAACTAGGCCGAGGATGGGGTTAAGCATGAAGACCTAGGGACCTTGGTGAGGGAGAACTTGCTCTGGTCTGACATGTGTGTGGCTGGGAGCCCTCTATCACAGTAGTCTTTGGGATGTGATGAGTGCGTGCGGCCTTGTAAACCAAGATAGCTGCAACCTGGTATCTCAAACACAGGGCCGTCACTGCATCTGGGCCAAGAACATTCATTAGCAGGGGACAAAGATGTATTGGCCCAGTCTTTGACACTGACAAAAATGAAAAGTTGTAGCCTCAGAAATTGGTGGCACTCCAATTCTCCCTTTTATTTGCATTTGGAAGTGGCAGTGATGCCCCCGTAAACTGATTCAGACTCTGCAGTTCTTAGAAAATTGGTGAGGAGGAGCATCCTTGAGAGAGATGCTAAACTTCCCATAGCAGGACATGAATGATCAGTTAAAAACAATATGAAAGAAGACGCTCATGTCATATCTTGAGCTAGAGAAGCAGTTCATATGGTTGCTTGCAGCTCAGCTAGAAGAACTGTGCTTATGCAAAGTTGTCTAAAAGGGCCCTATCAACTTGGGAGGAACGTCTCTGCTAGTCCTTGGGGCAGCCAAGACAAATATCAGTGGGGCCACTGGACTCTGCTGTGGAGAAGAAGCTGTGGGGGGTGCAGGTTCATGGGGCCTGGACTCAGCCAGAGCATGGATCCCTGGGCTCAGCCAGAGAGTGGAGGCTCAGGGAGTGGTGAGCTCATTGCTTGGAGAAGTTGTGTCCCAGAAGACCTGCTTGGATTCATGGCATACCCATGGCCATGTGAAAGAGATGAGTGGGACCAATTCTGCTCTTCACTTATTCACCCCAAGGTCAGGGCTCCTTCAGCTCTTGCAGAGAGTCTTCTGGAAAACAGGCATAGAGAGGAAAAACTGATCCAGTGCAACAAGCTTGATGAAATGAGCATTTCCCCTGCCCTAGATGCTGTTGGTGCCCTTCCCAGATGCCGTTTCCCAGGAAGCAGCACCATTTATCCATCTGCTCTGCGTGTTGGCTGCTAGAGGGGGCTTCTTCTCCTCAAAATTGCCATTAGTTGAGGGGGAGCCACCTTCTCTGGGAGGTTATGTGTTCTTGCTGAAGAAGAGCAGCCTTCAGCCAATGACTGACATGGTGGTACAAAAGACTGGTGCTCTTTTCTCAGGATGGGTCAATTCACACTCAGAACTCCCTGCTAGGTTCCAGCTGAGCCAAATCCTTGATCAGGCCCTTCCTCTGCCCTGTCTGCTCTTCTCACTTCCTTTCTCCTGATATCCCTCTTCCAATAAATTAAGTGCATCCAAATCTGTCTCAGACTCTGCTTCCAGGGTGCCTGCCCTTTCTTTTGCGGGCTTGGGGAAATGTTTTGCTAAGGAAGGACAAGGTTCCTGCACAGTGGGATGGGGGAGGTGGAAAAAGGAGGCAGTTTTTTTTTCAATGGTGGAAATAAACTTCCCAAAGACTGAGGGCAAGGGGTAGCCTGAAAGTCTACATGGGTCTCCATGCAAGTCCAAGGGGATCATGGAAAACCACTCATGATTTGAGGGACCATGGCCAGTTTTCATAGTAGGGATGTGGACTGGGGTCTGAGTTGAGACTGTGTTTTGATGCAAGTCAGTGTGGTTTGGGAAAACACAGAGTCACCAATTTTTGCCTTTCCCCCATTTTTCTTGTCCCCTTTCTCCATCCTCTCTTCCCAGATTTGCTCCTCACCTCTAGAACTTTCCATTCATTTTAGGTGAGGCAGGGGTTCCATGAAGGGAGCTGTTATGAGGCTGTTCTTGCTCAGTGATGCTGCACTGGGCACTGACTTTTGACCAGTAGCTTCTCACTCTGACTCAGCTACATGAACCACTAAGAGGAGCTGTGCTTGGTGAACCTCCACCCTTTCACTGAAGTGTCGTGTGTGGCCCTAGTTCACTATGGCTCTGCCCACTTCTCCTTGTTCTTCTTACTCTCTCTATCTTTAGAATCTCCTGGCTTTGTCTTTGGATTTCTGGAATTCTAGTTTCTCTTTACAGGGTTTCTGACACCAGTCTGATGGTGTCCATGTTTCTTTCCTGCTTAAAATCTTTCACTGTTGTCCGTTGGCCCTTCTAAGATCTTCAGCATAGCTTGCAAAAACCGTGCTTAATTTACCTCTCCCCTCTGCAGCTCGTAACTCCCCGTCCCATGCACCCCTGTCTTGGCCCTGCACATCATGCAGCTCTGCTCTGTTTCTCAAATTACTACAGATTCCTCTATACCTTTATTCCTACTCTTCTTTCCCTTTAGATTGCTTCTCTCCCTGACTGACTTTTCAAGAATAGCTTCAAGCTACTTTTTCTCTCTTTACGTTGTCTTATCATTCTGGGGGCAACTGCCTGCCTTGGGCTCTTTCATGACTGAGGCTCCATCATGAGTTCTGACTTTTAACTCTCAATAGCACCAATGTGTTGCACTTCTAGACTACACAGTTAGGCCCTAAGCTCCTTGGAGTCTAGGGCTTCTTTGAATCTCTGGTGCCCTGTACAGTGCCTGGCACAAAGCACCTGGGGTAGACACAGTGCACTGGACTCACCATCCATTCCAATTTCCTTCTAGTGACCTTTTAATATGAAGGGGCTGGAAAATAAAAATCCATATGTGCCAGATGCCCCTGAAGCCAGGGTTCTGAAGGGGATTAAGGCTAACTTTCTGTTGCTTTCATTGGTTCTGCTGATAAGCAGGCAATGCCCATGGAAACACTGAGTTTCCTGTAGTGCATTCTAGTAGGTGGTCATTGGTTTCATAGGTGCTGAGAGGCAGGGCTCAGGACAACCACGTTCCATGTTTTTTTTGGTCGATGTCTACAGAGTGTGACCTTGCTCTAAACAGGTGGTTGCACAGGAAACTTCTGACCCTGACACCAGTAAGGTGATGCGTCCCTGTGTTTGTGGCATAGGAAGCAACTGTCTTGCGGAGTTGTTTTGGGCGTTGTTGCTGAGTCTTGTTTTTGGTGTCATGGCTCTTTCAACCTTTCCAAAAGTTTTCTTAGTTTCTTGGATTAGATCCATTTTCACTTAATGCAGTTCAAGTAGCTCCCATTTTCTGCAATTGATCTCTGACTATACAGTGTTTGCAGAATTGAAGGATCAACTGACTCATCTAATGGGTTCATTTCACAGATGAGGATGCTGAGGTGCAGAAACAGAACAAAGTAAGGTAAAAAAAGGGTCAGAACTGGAACCCAGGGCCTTTGCCTTTTAGTCTAGTGCCCTTCCTCCTGCACCAAAGTGACATTTCTGTTTTCAGTGTCCTCATCCTTCCCTGCCTTATTCTGAAACTGGCCCAATTTTCCAACCAGCCACAGAGCTGAAACCCATAGAACTAAAGCCTATAGAACTGCAGCTTGAGAAACTTACATTTGAACAATGAAAACTCCTGCTCCCTGTTGGCCAACTCCTCTTCCTTGCCCTTCTGTTTTCCTTTCTGGCTGTATAAACCTTTAAGTTGAGTCAGGGAGGAGGGATGGATTTGAGGTTTGGCTCCTGTCTGACATCACCTGTGATATAATAATCCCTTCTTTCCTGACAATAGCATTGTCTCAGTGATTGGCTTTCTGTGTGGCAAACAATGGGACCTAGACTGAAGCCCTGGTGTTCAGTAACAATTCTCTGAAATAAATCTCTCCCTTCAGTAGGTGGGGTGGGTGGGGTTGGTCTATGGCTTTGAATACTTTACTTATATTTTAATATCTTACTGCTGATGGCACAGAAAAATCTTTTAGTGATTTTGTGTCCCATAGATTCAGCTTTGGACAGGCATTACAAGAACACTGGGAAGGGGCCAACACTCATCTTTAGCCACCTCACTTTTGGGCTCTTTATGTTCTCCCATCCTTGTCTCTCTTTCTCCCTTGAATTCTCTAAGGAAGTGGGATGCGACAGACACTGCTGGTGCGCTGTCCATGATCGTGGGTCATACCATTGAGGTACATGCAGGCCCTACAACTTTTAGCTGCCAGCTCCTGAATCTTTCTGCCTAAGGGCTTTCTTTGGAAGCTGAGGTACATTCATCCCCTGCAGCTGGAAGTACTGGAGAATTAACTCCCACCCTACCAGAGTAATTCTCAACAATGGCAAGTGGAAGTTGGTGTATAAATACCCCAGCTTCCTAGCCGCTTGGGTGGGAGAGCTCTCTGTCATGTTCTACATTATCCTCAGAGTTCCCCAGTGTATTTGGGCTCCAGTTGCCCAATAGCAATAACTTTCTGGTTAGCACACTGTGTTGACTACTTTCTCTTCTATTCCCCGTTTCACTTCCCCACTTCCCTATCAGTATTTACCAGAATAACTTTCAATAAATAACTTGCTCTAAAATCCTTGTCTTGGGGTTTGCTTTTGGTGGAGCCTAAATAAGACAGAGGTCTTTCCCTGTAAGTAGGATGGCAAGTCTCTCAGAGGGTGGTTTAGGAAGCAGGTTGGGAAGGGATTTATAGACAGAGGGTTCTTGCCAGAGCCCACTAAACTTTTCCCTGGAGATGGGTCTTATAGACCCCTAGTGCCTCTTAGCTGTTGTCCCTGTGTGCTGCTGCCAGCTGACACTCTTGCTTTGGGTCCCCAAGATAGGCTCCAAAAAGTAGATTCATCTTAGTAAAATCTTCAGTGTCTAATGTGGTGCTCTTGTCATCCCATTAAAGAGGGAGAATATCTGGTCCCTTGGTCAAACAATAAATTCTTCAGAAAATGGTGTAATTACCCTGTGTTTACCATTTGAGTTAATCTAACTTCTACAATATAAGGTTTACTTCAACGACTCCTACCTGCATTTGGCCAGGCCCCAAAAATCTGTAAACTAGAGTAGAAAATATGCTGTCTTTTGCCTGTACAGAGCAATGACGTGTGGGGGCAGAGGTCCCAGGAGGCAAAGAAGGATGAAAGTGGCTCACAGCCTAGGCCTGCTTCATCACTCAACCCCAGGCATTTTCTTCTCTTTTCTTTTTGTTTTTGAAAAATAAGCTCCAGAGAAATGATAAGGAGTTTTAAAAATAAAAGCCAGTGGGGCAGCAGCAGCATCCCTCTCCCTGGCACCTCTCCTCTTCACCCGTGACTCTCAGCACATGCAGGACCCACAGCTCGGTCCCTAGGGCCTTGTTCTCCAGCCTCCTCCGCCACCTTTGGCCCGAGGCCTCTGCCCTGAGGTCCAGCCTGGCCAAGGGTGGCCAGCAGAGCAGGGAGAGTCGGAATGACCCACACACTCAGAGATAAGGCTCCCAATTTGTTGATTCAGGGGCTTAGTTATTCTCTAAATAAACGTTCCTGCTTCAAAAACTTTTCTTTCAAGTGGAGCTGAGTGTTGCCTTCTTACTCTTTCCCAGGGGAGAAGTTTGTGTTTTGCTTTTTCTAAATTTATGTAAACTGTTCCCACACTCACACCCACTAAATACCAAGCTCCTCTGATCCCCCCTTCTCCAGAATGGCCATGGAGCCGGGGTGCTTGGGCTGTGATGAAATCACACATCCTCTTGGAGTCCCATGGGATCAAGTGGCGGTAGGGGCAAGGGGGTTTCTGCTGCAAGACAGGAAACCTGAAGGATTGAGGACAGACAACGCCCTGAGGTCACATAAGAACAGGCAACACAATCTGAGAAAGTCAGTTACTCTGCCTCCATTTTACAGATGAGGAAATTAAAGTGTGAGGGGAGTGGGTTGAGGGGTTAGTGAATCATCCACATGAGTAATGGAAAGTTCAATCCAAGGACTCTGCCCCTATGCTTCTCTGCTTTTCCAATTGATAGTGCAACTTTGTCACTGTAGCAGTTAGCTATGGCCACATAACAAACTTCCCCAGAACTTAGTGGATTAAAACAACAACTATTTACTTAGTTCATAATTTCTATGAGTTGATAATTAACCAGGCTTAGCTGAGTAATTCTTATTCTACTCTCACCTGGGCACATTCCTATGTCTTCAGTCACTCATTTGTCACTAATATTTGATGGCCTCACTCACATGATGTGATTGGCTGGCTGTTGTCTGGTGTGATGGGCGTGGCTGAACTACATGATTTCTTATCCTCTAGAGGGCTAGCCTAGGCTTATTCACAGAGTGGTAGCTGTGGGTTTCCCAAGACCAGCAAGAAAGAAAATTCTAATGCATGAACACTTTTCATGTCACTTCTTGCATCACATTTATTACTGTTCTGTTAGTCAAGCAAGTCACACAGCTAAGCTCAGATTCAACAGGTGGAGGAAGACTTTACCTCTTGATAGAGCAGCAAAGTGACTTTGCAAGGGTGTTGATACAAGGAGGGGAACAACTTTTGGTCCTTTTTGCAATCTACCACTGTTACAAACAGTACAGTGGCCCACCAGGCCATTGGAGGGGAGGGAATAGAGCTCTGCTGTGTCCTCCAAGTGCCGTGCCCAGTGCTCTGTCATTGCCCTACACTGCTGATCATACATTATCTTGGGTTAGGCCATTTGCATCCTTCACCGTCAGTCAGTGGCAGAGAGAGAGAACCTTGAGTGGCTGAGAGATGGGACACTGGGGAGATAAGTTTTGGTGCAGGGAAAAGGATTGAAAGCAAAGAAGCAGAGGTCAGAGGAATGCCTGGGCCCAGCAGAGCAGCACTGCTGGTGCAATGTAGTGTGAACAGTGCTGAGAATATTCCATGACTCTTATTTGCCCCCCGTCCTGGACCCCGCTGTCTCCTCCTCTCAGCCTGGGCCTCCCTGTCAAGAGCATGTCCATCCCTGTTTGATTCTCTCTCTGTGGTTCCCAGGACCCTTTGTTCATAGACAAGCCTATTGATTTCCACTTTTTTTTTTTTTTAAGTCATGGAGCCATCACATACTTAATATACTATCCTTCCCAAGGGCATTGGAAATACAAATAAACGTGGATGGCTCAGACCTAACAAAGACAGTAAAGTTGTTCAGAATGATGGAAAATTAACATGTGGGGTGGCCCACAAGAGCAAATGCAATTTGCTGCAAGTAGGTTGGGGTGGGCGGCATTCTGTGAGGCCTCCCGTGTTATCTGAAAGTTTCACTGCATTTCTTGGTATACTAAATCTGCAGGCTTAGTCCTAAAACAGTATCTCAGACCAGAAGCACAAAGAACCTCAAATTATGAACTTGATAGTTGGAAGGAGTCTTAGATAACAGTGAGACCCCTCTCCTTTTACAGCCCATAACAAACAGCTCTTGGACTGGCGCTGCTTTGTGGATCCCATTTGAGCAGCTCTGCTTTAGAGGGACCTCCCTTCTCCCTCCTGCACTGTGCCAAGGAGAACTGCCCACCAGGAGTTCAGGCCACCCTGCCGCCTCCATTCCCCACCCCAGCCATGCTCAGGATATGCAGGACTCGGGAATTCCCTGTTTAAAGGCCTCAGCCCACTTCCATGTCCTGTGTGGGCATCTCCTCTGGGGTTGTCCTCTCAAAGTGAGCCACTGGTAAGTGTTCCCAGGAAGGAGGGGTTGTGAACAGAGCTTGGACTTGAAGGCTCAGTGGTCAGCATGTGTGCGTGTGAAACCCCTTTATGGTGTGGGTGGAGCCTTGTGCGAGAAGAGGGTGGGCTGCAAGTCCAGGAGGAGGCCCTGAACTCTCGTATTACCACCCAACAATGTTAGAGACGATTTTGCCTCAGGGTTTATGGTTTTTCCTGCCAGGCTGTGACTGATGGAAAGCAGGGAGGTGGAGGCTGAGAACCCCGGCTCTGTAGTCACTGCTGCCCACAGACAGCAGACCTACCAGCCTCGGCACGCTACCTCTTGGAGGGGCTGAGTCCACAGGAGTTGGGAGTTTCTTGCCAGTCCTCCCGCCAGCATGTCCCTGCCTTCCTAGCCCTCACCGAGCCTTATTCTTATTCTCTCTCACATAGAACCTGGCTTGGACCCTTTCATGCTCCTGATCTCTGTCCTGTTTGCTATCTCATGGGCTGACTCAGTAGCAGTCAGAGGTCCCTGGCAAGCAGGATGACTTCTCCCACATTCTATTAGCTCTGGCTCAGGCCGACAGCCACATGGACAGTCTCGCCTGTGGAAGTTCTTCCATCACCCTGACTCAGTTTCTGAACTGAAACAGTCCCCATGAAGTCCTAAGATCTGAGTTATTTGGTGTATCCACCTCCCCCACAGGGTTGATGGTCTCCAAGAGCAAGGGCTGCAGGCTTGATCTTGGCATGGGCTGAGGATCTCACCAAGGTCCTCGTCTGCTCCTTTAAAGGTGGGAGAGACCGTCTCTTACTTTCCTTATCACTAATACCAACTGGATTTTCAAGTCTCAGGTGTGTTTGAAGTTGGCCTTTGGAGACTCCTACACACACACACACGTGCGCATGCATACACACACCTCACACATGCTTACACATATATTCACACACAAACTTGCGTACATACATGCTTATATACACACTCAGGCTCACTTATAAACATAAACACACATAATTGTGTGCATGTTTGTGTATGCACACATGCACAAACACACACAATCACAGTTGTGTCTGTGCTACTCCCATTGCTTTTTGGCTCTGATGGCGCTCAGCAGATGGAGGTCCAGGCTCCCTAGATGCTGTCTTGCCAGCTGAGAGGCTGAACTACTGCCGAAATTTCCAGGGTCCCCTTGTGGCATTTCTTGATAACAACATGAGCTAAGTTCATTTCTCAAGGCTGTAAACTATCGTAGCCATCCTGCCCTTTCAGATGTCAGCTTATTGACGCTGGGGCTTGGTTTGCCTCTCTCCTCTCAAGATCAAGCTGGCAGCCTGGAACGTTTTTGAGGTTGGAGACCAGGAAGCCTCCAAACCTCACCATGACCTCCTACGTGTCATGCCAGCTTGAGCAAGTGCAGTGACTTAGAGCAACCAGCAAGAGAGGCCTGGAAAACTCCCTCCTTGGCTGCCTAAGGCAGCAAGAGAGACCAGAACAAAGATGCCTCACATTATTTAGGATGGATCCCATTGATGATGAATGTAAAAGTGCTTTGCAAACTGTGAAGCGCTGAGCATATGTAAGAGAAGATGTTCATTTTGAAGACCACAACAGGTTTGCTGTCTTCTCGGTGAGTGGAGGTTGTACCTTCTGCAGAACACTTCCTAAGACCAAATCAGCCAGGGGTGTCTCTTTGGCAGTCAGCGAGAGGCTGGGTGCCCATTCCCAGGCTTGGCTCTGTATAGTCTGCAAGGAAAACAAGAGTCATGGGACTCACTCCAGGGAACTCCCCTCCGGGAAAAAAGCTGGGAAAAGTCTCCCTGTATAGCTGCAGGCAGGGCTGTAGATGCCAGTGGTCAGGTGGGGAAGAAACAACCTCTTCTTGGACTATGGTGCCTCCCTTGGAGCAGCTTAGCACTTAGAGAACCGGCCCTGATTGTGTTCAGATGGTGATGCTATTGGCTGTGATTATGGTTATGATTCAAGTTGGCAATGAGACTCGCAAGATGCAATTGGCTTGTGTTTACTGTAGTTACTGTTTTAGTTCATTTTCTGATTTTTATAACAGAACACCTGAAACTGGCGTAATTTATAAAGAAAACGAATTTATTTCTTACAGTTATGGGGACTGAGAAGTCCAGAGTTGGGGGCCATATCTGGTGAGAGCCTTCTTGCTGGTGGGGACTCTCTTTGCAGAGCGTCACATGGTGAGGGGTTGAGCGTGCTAGCTCAGGTTTCTCTCCTCCTTCTTATAAAGCCACCAGTTCCCCTCCTACGATGACCCATTAATCCATTAATTTATAAATGGATTGATCCATTCATGAAAGCAGAGCTTCTTTTTTTTTTTTTTTTTTTTTGAGATGGAGTCTCGCTCTGTCCCCCAGGCTGGAGTGCGGTGGCGCGATCTCGGCTCACTGCAAGCTCCACCTCCCGGGTTCATGCCATTCTCCTGCCTCAGCCTCCTGAGTAGCTGGGACTACAGGCGCCCACCACCACGCCCGGCTAATTTTTTATATTTTTAGTAGAGACAGGGTTTCACTGTGTTAGCCAGGATGGTCTCGATCTCCTGACCCTGTGATCTGCCCACCTCGGCCTCCCAAAGTGCTGGGGATTACAGGCGTGAGCCACCACGCCTAGCTAAGAGCAGAGCTTCTTAAAGGTCCTACTTCCCAATACTGCCACATTGGGGATTAAGTTTCAGCATGAGTTTTAGAGGGGATATTTAAGTCATGGCAGTTACTTAGCTTTACAGAAGGATACAGAAAAGGGGATACAGGGAGCTCAACGTCATGTTCTCCTCAGCAAGGCCAGCAGTTACCCAACTGCACAGCCTCGTAGGCCTCAAGTAGCCCCAGCACTTTTGGGTCACCTTGACACAGAGAAACCACAGCCTTTGCTTTCTGCCATCTTTCTACACTGCTTGAGTCAGTGAGGCCTAGGGCCTGAATGCCAACTCAAGATTTTATATTTATCCTGTAGCTCTGCAGAAACAGGGCAATAAGAAGAGAAAGGTCAAGGTCATTCCCAAGCCTACATCAGCCCAGACATGATGCTAACCCTTCCACACACGGATGTAATCCTTGTCACTGATAGTTCTAGCTGTTCCTAAGCCTCCGTTCTATGATTCACAGGTGAAACCAGAACCCAGGGAGGACAGAAGACTTAGAGTTTAGCCTTCCACACTCAATATAAGCTATCTAGAAAGCCCTTTTCAGGGCAATAGTGGAAGGCAAGGATTTGTGCTTGCCAGAGCTAAGCATTGTTGGGCTATAAAATGGCTTTCTAAATTCCCCAAAGCTTCTCTATACTTATTGGGAAGGTTCCATGGCATCCCATTCTAAGTCATGGCTTAGGGTGGGATGGACTATGTGTCACCTGGAGGGGATGGGGATGTGGAAACTCTTTCTGGGCTCGGTAAGGATCTATGGGCTGGGGAAGAGGGAACTGGGGCATTGAGACCTGCTCCCTGGCTGCCCTCTAGATAAAAGTCCAGATGGTTGTAGATGTGTGCGGCTGATGGAGACACCTGGAAACTCCTGAGCAGAGGGGAGTGCCCTGTTGCCCACCTGGCAGAGGACTCTAGAGTGGCCTGTATAATCAGGGAAAGATCATGATGGAGTAGAAGTAGTGTTGAGGTATGGTTATGCTGAGAGGCCCTGAGATATCTCTGCCCAGCCCTATTCTAGCCTCTTGTGGACTCTGTACGGCTTAGAGGAGAACCGGGAATATGCCTGTGGTCCCTAGAGAGGGGCAGGGAAGGGACTGAGAGGCAGCATGCCAGCTGGGGAGTCACCATGATGCCAAGCAAGGGCACGTTCTGTCATCATCCCTGACAGAAGCTGAGGAATGGGTAGCCCAAAGTCAGGGGCCAGATTGAGTGAATGGTTGAACCTCATCCAAGAGCCTGCAACCCACCCCCTTCAACAGCTAAGACAGCTTCCCTGTGGTAGCACCTCCAACTTCAGGGCCTGGCTCAGCCTGGGAGTGACTGAGATTGAGCTTAGTTACCATGTCCCACTGGTCTGGCATCTCTTCTTTGCATTCATGCCAACCTCTCTTCACCTTACTAATTTCCCATAAGCCCCTGGAGTCAGCATTAATTCCCCTCAATGGTTGATTTAGAGAGGAGCCAAATAGCCCACGTGTTATTTTTCTCAGCAACAAATTAAGTTAATGAACAAACCCTGGCCATTCATCTCTGTGATTCTGGCTGGGGAGCTGGAGGCCACAGCACTGTCACCAGCAGCACCAACATCACTCCCGTTTTCCTCTAATCAAAACAATATATTCTTCTTCGATGCATTAGAGTTGGGAAGTGGGGAGTGCTGCTGTGGTGGTGAACAGACCACCCTCAAAGACTCCAGTCCGATGAAGAGAAATGAATCAATCTTGGCATCATGACAAGTTAATAAGAGAATGCCATCTGCCTCCCCCAGTGGGAGCCCTTCAGTGCCCAAATCTGTAGCATCTTTTTTTGGTTCTGGCTGGCTAACCAGACTAGGAAGAGTAACTTGGGAGTGGGAAAGAGAAGGGCCTAGGAGCCTGGTGTTGGACACCTCTAGCGGATGCCCAGTGGCTCTGATTACACCCTGAGGGGAAGCCAAGAGACTCTGGAAGATTGTTGGGGGAGGGGTGGGTAGTACAGGATGATTATGTTCTCAACCAAGCCTGCCCTTGGGTTGGGTTCCCAGAAACAGGCCAGAGACAAGGATTAGGGTGTAAGTGGTTAAATTGGGAGATGGAGGAAACTCCAGTAGACAGAGAAAGGAAGATAGCTAATGAAGAATGTGCTATTAAGTCAGTTCCCATGTGGGCAACTGGGGCTTGAGGCTGCTGGAGAACTCTGGGAGCCAGTATAGGACACACACCTTAGAGTTTTCCCATGTGAGTGGGGAAGGAGTGGGGTATTTATCCACCATTCCCTGTCCATGATGGTTCGACGGGTGCGGCTGGGAATGTTAACTCTCAGGCACTCTAAGTTTGCCCTATATGTAGGCTGAGTGGGCTCCCTGACTCAGGAAAGCCTCCAGGCAGTGAGCCACAGGGGCTTTTAAGGAGCAGCATTTGGTGTGGAGAGATGGACAGGCACTGGCAAATATCTGCTCCATTGTCCAAGCCAATTCTTCAGCTGGATATCCCTTTGTGTGACTTGCTCCCTGCCATTCTCTCAGTCTCTCTGTGTCTGGACCTTGATTTCCTTAAAGTCCTTGCTTCTCCTCCATACGCAGTCACTAGTCATCTTCCTTAGATTGATCTTTCACTGGGTTTTACCCACAATCTCCCTGGGTCCCTCCTCTCCTGCTGTAACCTCTGATAGCCTAGACCCAAGGGTTCTCAAACTCAGACTGCAGCAAGTCTTTATGAACACACTGTTCTCTATTCAGACTGATTTAGACTGATCTTATACCTCTCATGGCTCCCCATTTTCTTCAAGATAACACTTAGTTCTCTTATTCTGGCACCTTCATTTTTAATCCCAATTTCCCTCTTTAGATTTGTGTTTCAGAGCTCTTTTATGTCCCATTCCAGACAGCGTGCCTCAAGCACTAAATTTGTAGTTAGCTGACACTGTGTTCTGCCTCATGATGTGCCTGCCAGGAATACCTTTCTTTCCTTCTGTACTTAAGCAGATACTACATGCTTTAGAGAACTATTCAGACTAGGAATCAAATTGCAGGAGTCAGTGCTGAGCTCTCAGGTCCTGTTTCAAGAGAGACACAGAGAAAGAGAGAGAGAGCCAAAGATAATTGAGCATTCTCTGAGATGCACATATTTCCCTGTCAGGGGTGGATACACGAAGACAGCAGAGAAGATATTGAGCCTAAGTCAGATTAGAAGGTAAACTTTTCATTAGAAAGAACCATTCTGGGCTGGGCATGGTGGCTCACACCTGTAATCCCAGCACTTTGGGAGGCCGAGGTGGGTGGATCACCTGAGGTCAGGAGTTCGGAACCAGCCTGGCCAACATGGTGAAACCCCGTCTCTACTAAAAACACAAAAAATTAGCTGGGTGTGGTGGTGCGTGCCTGTAATCCTAGCTATTTGGGAGGCTGAGGCAGGAGAATTGCTTGAACCCGGGAGGTGGAAGTTGCGGTGAGCTGAGGTCACACCACTGCACTCCAGCCTGGGCAATCTCTGTCTCAAAAAAAAAAAAAAAAGTATCATTCTGGTCATTGTCTTATAAGCAAAAATAAGATTGGAAATTAGAGGAATGCAACAAAGCAGGCAGTTGCTGGAAATAGGACACAGAATACTCCAAATCACAGCCCAGAACATTAATGCCACTGAACTTACACTTAAAAACGTCAAATTGTATGGAATGTGTATTGTTACCACAATTAAGAAATGAAAAAATATAAAAGAAAATATCTATGTATTATTACAAACTCACCCTAAAACCTACCCGGAATAGCATAATTGTTGAGGGTTTGGAGAGTGGGTGAGTAAGGGGAAAACTTCTGGGTGATATTGATAAGTATTCTTTAAAGATTTTCAAGACCAGCATTCTGAAACAAATTCATAACCTGGATCAGACAGAAGGACTTTTCTGGAAGAAGAGAATTAAGCATCTGGACAATTTTTATAAACACCCACCTCTGGCTCCAGAGCGGTGAGCTTGCTGCTGATGGTTTTTGGCTGGGCATGAGCAGTCTGAAGAGAAGCGCACTGTTATGAAGGTCAGGCTAGCCCTGAGCAGAGGAGGAGGAAGAAGGCTTTCTTGCTACCACATCTTGCAGCAAAGGCATGATCAGTTTGTTTGAGTGACAAAGCCAGGAGGAGGTTCAGAAGTTGGAGACAGTGTCCAACTTCCTCCCAGTGAGGGGAAACAAGTCCTCGCCTTGAGTTTTCCCCTTCAGAGGAAGACACACACTCCTCCCCAGGTACAGCATTCCACTGATGGGTGGAAGCCCTGGCCCTTCTCAGCCAAGGCCTTAACAGCAAGCATGGCGCCTGCTTTTAGGGAGCTGGAGGTCAGATGGAGCAGAGCCCTCACTGTCCTCAGGGACCTCTGGGAATTAGAAACATGGTTGGAAATATTATTTGGAGATAAGAGTTTCTGGGAGAAGCCGGGAATTGCCTGTTTTTCCAAAACAAACCCAAGTGAAGCCAGCCTGCAATTTCTAGGCAGCCTTTGGCCTTTGGCAGTAGTGGGGACCTCTCTCATCTCCAGCAATCTGGATTAAGTAGGACATTTATCTCACTTGTTGGCTGAGGCGTCCCTGCCCCTATACATCAAAATAAACTGGACTTAACTCCCAGTTTCACGGCCTCTGATGAAGCATCTTCTAAGTGACTTCTGTGGATTATTGACGGCTGTTTTCCTCATGGTGCTCTTGGTCCTGGTTTCTGCATCCAAACACCAAATGTCTATCTTGTCCGTATGTTAAAAACCTGGACACATGCAGACCTTTCACTGTTTTTTTTCCCCAAAATGCATCACAACATGCATCCCATAAAGTTTATTACTCTTATGGAAGGTTTGAGGGATCATGCACCATCTTCAACTAATTTTGAAAGTGTCCCTCCTTCCCCTACCTCTCTCTCTCCCACTCCCGTCTCTCTCTCTTTTTCCTGCCCCCTCTCAGTAGCCAATAATTCCTTTCCTTGTTTTAGTGAAGTGCTTTTCCTCCTCTCCAGTCTTGGCATTTGCTGTCACTCTGCCCATGAGGCTCTGTTCTGGCCCAGCAGGCTTCTTCAGGCAAACCTAAACAAACATAATGTTCACCTGGAGGACTTCTGGTAAATTCAACTCTCTCCACCTCCTACACTAGAGACAATTCAGCCTACCTGGGAAAGAGATATTTTATCATGAATTAGCCAAATCATCCCTTCCTATTGATAGGAGATTTAAAAAGAATAGAAATGATTAACTTTACAAATATCTGAGATGCAGAATCCTCAAATCATCAAAGAAAAAAAAAGAAGGGTTAACATGCAAAGCCTATCAAAATGTGTTTCAAACCAATGCTTCTCAAAGTTCAACATGCACACAAATCCCCTGAGGATCTTGCTAAATGTAGGCTCTGATTCAACAAAACTGTAGTGAATCCTGAGATTCTATAGCTTTCACAAGTTCCCAGGTGTCACTGGCCCACAGACCAATTTAGAATAGCAAAGTTATAGACCAAGGGATTTGAAAGTTGACTGCTATTGGAATAACCTGGGGAGCTTAAAAGATATCGATGTCTGGACTTACCCCAAGAGTCTCATGTAATTGAGAATGGCTGGGCATTGGTATTTTATAAAATTTTCAGGTGTTTTGAGTATATAGCTGAAGTTAAGAATCACTGTTCTAAAACAGAGCATCAAGCTCATATATTAATATCTGATCTTTTCCTATTTGGAGTACTTGAGCCTGCACAGAGGTGGACAGGAGGAAAGCACAACCCCTTCCTAAGGGGGACACCAATTGTCACATTCCAAGCAGCCCTCAAGGGCTCTGGGGAGAACCGGGTAGAAGCCCAGCTTTAGGATTGCTGTGCTGATAGCAAATGATAGTAAATTAAAAGAATATGCTAATCCTTTTAATTAATTAATAAAATGGCAAATTGAGCTAAAATAAAAAGATTAAAAGGATAAAGTTCTGGATATCTTCAATAAGCTAAAAAGAAAAAAATTTTAAAGAATAAAGTGATAAAATGGTAAAATAAAGTGGTATAACTTGATATAATGAAAAAGCAAATAGGACATATTTGATACAATAAGATGAATGTTTATGATTAAAAATTAAGCTACCATATACTCTTAGGTTGAATATAAGAAATAGCCAATATTTGATCTCATATGACCTAACGAAATGGCAATTTCATGCACCTGCAAAATAACAAAATGATGAAAAACTAGAAGATTTAATGATAAAGCAAAATAAGGTTAAATGCTAAGAATTAGCCTCAGGAAGAAGTCCCTTGGGCAGCCCTCTGTGCATTGATGAGAACAGTGTCCTGGCCTGAGTGCCTATGAGGGCAAGATCCTTCCAACTGGGTCTCGCTGAGGCTTGGGATTTGGGGGTGACACGATCCCCAGGGCAGAAAGCTCTTGGCATTGGCCATCTGGTACTTGAGTGTGTGTCTTGAGATCCTTGCCAAGACCTTTAACTGCTCTCAGAAAGCATCCCCAGGTGGCTTTTGTTCCTAACAGGTAGCAAGTTCTTTAGCTCAACTCATTGGAAAACAGCCTACAGACTGCTAAGATTCTTATTAGAGACTTGGAGAAGGGTACTGCTGGCAGGCTGGTCAGATTCGCAGATTCAATTCCATTTATTAAACATTTATTAAATTTCTCCTCTGTGCCAGGCCCTGTGGTAGGTGCTGAAATATGGCAGTCAACAGGAGATTAGAGAGTGCTGCGTTTAAGGTCTGGTAGCTTAGGGCCCTGGAATGGAGCGAGGGGGTGTTACAGGTTGGGGTCCCCTAGAAGTGGAATCTGAGATGAGGTTTAGCATGTGGATCTATTGGAGATCTGGGGATCAAATCCTGGGGCACTGGGAGAAACTGGGCTGCAATGGAATCCCAATAAAGGCCTCAGTTCTCCCTAAATGGAGCTCTGGTGCTGGGATGGCTCTTCTGAGTTTTTCACATTGCATGGAGTGTACTGAGCCTTGCTCTTCCCTCATTGAAACAACGCATGAAACAAAATACTTAGATTACAATTATAGATATATAGATATATTAGAAAACTAAATTTGTGATGTAGTACTCTATGTGTTTCTTTAATGACCCATTAAAGAATCAGATCTAGCAGTGTATCAAATAACTCTTGCATTTTCAAAGTCGTGCTGAACACAAATGACACCTACGGAAGATATCTATGAGTGTCATGAAATGTGAAAAAAAGTGTGATTTCTATATGTAACAAAGCTTCAGGTATTGCTAACACCACTGTGGTTTGTTACTTACATTACATAACTGAAGGAGGTGCTAAGTGTTGGTTCACATTAGTTAACTAAATATTAGTTTAGTTAAATGTTAGTTAACTTTTTCTCACCAGGTTCAAAGATTCCCTAAATTCTATCTACATTCAGCCTGAGGATACCAGCATAAAGATCCCTGGAGTGACTATAGCAGGGAGTTGGCAGCCAACAAGGCTGAGGACCACTTATGGGGTCAGATGTCAAAGGGCTCATGCCATGGGTGGCGGGGTGGGGAGTCTCTAACATTCCCCAACCCTCCATAACTTTATACTCCTTCCTCTGGCATTCAAGGAACTTTCATTTTAATCTGACACGAAACCGTCATCCCAACCAGGAAGAAGCTTTCTGTTTTTTGTTTTTTTGTTTTTCTTTTTTTATTATTATACTTTAAGTTCGGGGATACCTGTGCAGAATGTGCAGCTTTGTTACATGTGTATACATGTGCCATGGTGGTTTGCTGCACCCATCAACCCATCATCTACATTAGGTATTTCTCCTAATGCTATCCCTCCCCTTGCCCCTCACCCCCTGACAGGCCCTGGTGTGTGATGTTCCCCTCCCTGGGTCCATGTGTTCTCATTGTTCAACTCCCACTTACGAGTGAGAACATGTGGTATTTGGTTTTCTGTTCCAGTGTTAGTTTGCTGAGAATGATGGTTTCCAGCTTCATCCATAGCAAAGACTTGGAACCAACTCAAATCAATGAGAGACTGGATAAAGGAAATGTGGCAATACACACTGTGGAATACTATGCAGCCATAAAAAGAATGAGTTCGTGTCCTTTGCAGGAAGAAGGTTTTAAATAAAATAGCCTCAAGTTGTTTTTCCTGCCATTTGCTACTATTATCCCAGAGAACTGTTCTATTGGGAGGGTTTACCAAGGGGCAGAATTAAAAGCTTTGGGTAAGGACGAAGTTAGAACTGAAGTCTAGAACGTGCTACCATGTTGGGAGAGGATGTGAACCTAAGGCACATCTTCACCACCTTTACCCAGCATGTATTGTTCATTCAAAAACAGAGGAATATATTCCAGACTTAAGGACTATTAAGTTTTGGGGACTTTATACCCCATTTCTTTTTCTTATGAAGTTGACAATGTTTAATAGAGTTGTACTGATAACAGAAAATGACCTGATTTTATATCTGACATTTTTCAAACCTAGTGTGATAAAGTGAATCATTGGTCTCAATTCTCCCCTTCCTGTTCTGCACATTCATTCCTTTGTTATGGTGTTATGTTGGGTAGATTGTATTCCCTAATCCCTTGACTTTGAGCCCAATTATGTGACCTTCTTTGGCCAATGAGATGTTAGCAGATAGGACATAAACCGAGGCTTGAAATATACTTGTGTGTTGGATTTATCTTCTTGTGCTCTTGCTTTTTGCCACGAGAATATACCCTGGGTAACTGCTGGACAAGGAAAATATGGAGACAAAAAGAGCAGATCTGGGTCTGGCCTATACCTTGGAACCAAGTCCAGCTGAGCCTGGATTAGATTAGGCAAGCCAGCCAACTTGCACATGTGTTAGCCGGAGAATCAGTGCTTGTTATTCTATGCCACTGAATTTGGGAGATGGTTTTTATTGCAGCATGATTGTAGATAGAGCTGACTAGTATACAAGAAGCGTCATATTTTCAAGGCTTTATGGTTAGTAATAAACTTAATTTACCCATTGCTTAAAATTCTGCATAAGAAGTTTGCTTTAAAAAAGAGATGGCTATTAGTTTATTTAAGTTTAATATTTATTTTTTCCAGATTCTGGCTGTTGGCCACTTGAGATATTACTGTACATTGGACACACACAAACTGAGGTGACTCAAGGGTAAGTGGTGGGATGTTGGTGAGATTAAGTAGGGAAGGCTATTATAGATTTAACTCAATTAAATTCAGCAAATTATATATATATTTCCTACTGTATGCAAGGTGCTTTTATAGGTACTAGAGACACATCGATAGAAATCTCTGCCTTCATAGAGCTTTTCTTCTAGTGGTCATTCACTAGATATAGGGATCATCTCGTTCCGTAGCAGAAGAGGGTTCTTGGCACCAAACCATGGATTATGAGAGCAAAAGTGACACAAAGAATCAGGAAAGGTCACACTCACTGAGCCTTTATTCTCTGGAAAGAACTATTTACTGTGAAGAGAAAACATAAGGAATGAATGACAGCCTGGGAAATAAGTAGCAATGAGTTTCATTCAAAATGGGGAAAGAATTCCATCTACCAAGAGGGAAACATAAAACTGTAAAAATGAAGTCAAATCAGGGGGAGGAAGTGGCTTTTTTCTTGCCAGGAGTTTATCTAAGGGCCAAGAAGAGAAAGAGAAATAGATTTCAAATTTTAATGAACAATTACAGTCTCTTCCTCCTAGGTAGGACTGATTTTCTAAGCCGGTCAGAGATTCTCCTCTATTGCTAACTGTACATGCATCCTCAAACGTCCTCTGCTTCTTCCAGGTTCCTTTTCCTTGAAGAGTTGTTAAGGGGTCATCGGAAGTCTTGGTGATCCATCTAAACTATCCACTCTACTGGGTAGTCCTAGTGTTGATTCTGACCTTGTTTGGCACTCATCCCAAGATATTTGCAGAAGATGTGAAAAAGCCAGGCAGTCTACTAGGTAGACGTCTGAATATGTGGAAAATTCTAAACAGCAATGACTTAGACAAGGTAGAAATTTATTTCTTGTTCACATAAAACTTTGAGCAGGCTGCCCACAGTGGTGATGGTGCTCTGTGGTATCAGGGTCTCTGGTTTCTTCTACCTTGTTGCTCCTTCCATTTGTGACCTGGGCTGCTAGTCAAAGATGGCAGCATCTACCTTCCAGGTTGCAGGATAAAGAAGAAGAGAGGCTGGGCGCAGAGGCTCACGCCTGTTATCCCAGCACTTTGGGAGGCTGAGGCGGGTGGATTGCTTGTGCCCAGGAGTTTGAGACCAGCCTAGGCAACATGGCAAAACCCTATTTCTACAAAAAATATAAAAATTAGCTGGTGTAGTCCCAGCTACTTGGGAGGCTGAGATGGGAGGATCACTTGAGCCCAGGAGGTGGAGGTTGCAGTGAGCCAAAATCACACCACTGCACTCCAGCCTGGGTGACAGAGTGAGACTCTGTGTTAAAAAAAAAGAGAGAGAGAGAAAGAACAGCAAAAGATATATTACTGCTGCTCCTTTAAGGAAGGGGCAATATTTCCACTTATGTCCCATTGGCTGGATTTTAAACATATTCCTTCTCTCAGCCACTAGGCAGGTTGGGAAAATACAGTCTTTATTCTGGGTAGCCGTGTGTCCAGCCAAAACTTAGGGGATCTAACACAGTGGAGAAAGTGGATTTGGGGGATGAATTAGTAATAATAGATTAGGCTATGCTGTGGTCCATATAAACCCTAATATCTCAGTGTCTTGACCCAACTAAGGTTTATTTCTCACTCAGGAACCTCAGTTGACAGGTGCTTCACCATCCCTCTGCTGATTGCTGGAACATGGGGCCTTCAAGACAGCTGTTAAGAGGGGAAGAGAGGAGGACATGAGGCAGAACACCAACTCCTAAATGCTGACTTCTAAATGCTTACGACTGACATCCCTCATTTCTGCTCTTAGTCCCTTGGCCAGAACTAGTCCCATGGTTTCTACCTAACTACCAGACAGCCTGGAAAATGTGGAAAAGCATTTTATTATTACAAGTGGGAAATAAATGTCTCTGCCACTTATTGGGGTTAATACTTGAATTCATTTAAAGAGTTGTATACAATGACTAATTGCTACAGCATGCTGAAGTTTTGATTGAGCACTTTGTCAGCATTTAACATTCCTCTCTTCCCCCACAGGCTTATTTGTGGCTTGGAGCCTCCGTGTCCTTCTAGCCCCGTCAATCTGTGGTTTTCTCTGTGTATCCACAGTCTTGAAGAAAAGCCCTGGGCACTGGCGCTAGGTTTTCCCATTTGACACAGAGGAGGCCTCCCTTTAAACGACAATAAAAATAGCCTCCATTTATGTTGCTGTTTCTTTCCCTTTGTCTCTTCTACTAAAGGAGCCAATTAAACAAAATGTGTGCTTTCGGCGCCTGTTCTGTATTCACTTTAAGATTTAATCAACCCTCTGAACCTGCAGCATAACTGCCTCATAATGTCAAGTTAATATATTGAGATCAGCTCAAACCCACCATTCCCAAGGGTGGTTTTGTTTAAAGGCAAGTTGTAATTGAATTTCTAAGCAACTGCCAAGCTTTCAAGGTACCAAAATAAACATTATCCAAACAGAAACTTATCCTGGAATCTTTGGTTAACTTATGTGTACTTTAAGAAAACAGAGGTTTTCAGAATTTAAAAAAAAAAAAGTAAGCTGAACTCTTTGAAGTCCCTTCAAAACTTAATCGCTATTACCTTCCCCCACCCCCATTTCTTGAGGCACTCACAGCTGAATACCCAATCAGGTAAATCAGCAGCTGAGTATTCACTAAAACACAGCTTTCTTTGCTTTACAGGAAACTGTCCTTCAGGCTCCTTTGACTTTTGGGCTCTTTCGTTGCTCAGCTAAATATCTTCAGGGATCCTCACTGCCCACAGAATAAAGTCCAAACTTTCCATCCTGGGATTCAACCTTTTCTGTGATCTGTCTCCAACATGCTTTGCAGGGCTTATCTCTACTTACAGAACCCTGTCTCCCTTCACCCAAGCATGAGCCTACTCATCAATCATATCCCACGGTTCACTTCTTGCAAATATGTTTGACACTTTTCTATCTGGGTTTTTGTTGATGTTAGTCTCTTAACCTGTAATGTTCTTCACCCCAAATCTATCTATTAAAATCCCACCCAAATCAGTAGCCTCTTCCAGTTCCCCACAGTTGTATTAAATGTCACCGTTGTGCTACGTAGCACTTGGAGACACGTTTATTGTTATACTTCCCTTATTCTGTTTGCATCTGAATAAGTTCCACCCAGCTTCCACATGAGTTTATATGTTCCTCAAGGCCAGGAAGCGTATCTTCTGTTTTTCTTCCCTCCTTTGTTTTTAATGGACCTTTATTAAATACCTACTGAGTGCCTGGCACTGTGCAAGAGACTCTGAGAATTACAAATCAAGCACAGTTTAGATTCTCAAGAAACCCATAGCAAAGATTGGATGCAATGTTTTTTCTTTTTTAAAAAATATTTTTGGCCCCCTCTTAGGAAAAAAAATTTTTCCTTTAAAAAATGTTTATTTATTTATTTTTATATTTTGGATGCATATTGAAGAGAGGGGACAGAATGAAGACTAAAGAACTCGGGTTAGAGATAGCAATAAAATGTATAAATGTGCATAAAGTTAAAATATCTGGACAGTGCTCTGTGTCATCACTGGTATAAGATACCTTAAAAGAAGGGGGTATTGCTTCAGATTCATTTGGACATTCATAGACAAGGAGAAATGATGTATTAGGGGGAAGACAGCAAGGAATTGGGAGTTTAGTGAAACTCAAAGGGAACAATAGATGGTTTTTTTGTTTGTTAGTTTTCTTTTTTTGACATGGAGTTTCACTCTTGTCACCCAGGCTGGAGTGCAATGGCATGACCTCAGCTCACCGCAACCTCTGCCTCCCGGGTCCAAGCGATTCACCTGCCTCAGCCTCCTGAGTAGCTGGGATTACAGGCACCCGCCACCATGCCCCACGAATTTTTGTATTTTTAGTAGAGACGAGGTTTCACCATGTTGGCCAGGCTGGTTTCAAAGTCCTGACCTCAGGTGATCCACCCACCTTGGCCTTCCAAAGTGCTGGGATTACAGGTGTGAGCCACCGCACCCGGCCAATAGATGGTTTTCAATATAAAGCATTTGTAAAGGGAATCATTGGGTGGCAGATAGTTTGGAAATTAAAAAAAAAAATAAAACAAAATCATAGAAGTCCTGAATTTCCAGATGAAAGAACTTGGACTTTATTCAATAAGCACAGGCAGCCACCTACAGTTGTTGAGCTTTGGTGTGATGTAACCTGTGCTTTTCCAGGGACTGTTAATCTGGTGTGGGTGCAGGTTGATGGGGGAAGCTAGAGGATGTCATTAATTCAGGAAGAAAACCGATGGTCTGGACTGAGGGAGCAGCAGCAGCAGTGGGCATGGAGGGGAAGAGAGGAATGAGTAAACTTGGTTAGAGGTAGAGTCACCTGGGTTTATGAACAAAGGAGATGTAGGATTTAGAGATGGTCCTGAGTTTTTTGATCTAGATTGCAAAAACGATGGGGCTACCATCAGCAAGAGGCACCTAAGAGAAGGCTCAGATTGAGGGCAATTTGTGAGCATAGGGGCCAACAGGAAATCCAGGTGGGGGGCTCCATAGGGAGTAGAAAATGTAAGCTGGGATTTGGGAAGGGGTCAGGGATGGATATAAGTAATATTTGAAGAAAGTAGGCTTATTTTCAAATTTGGGGTATGTTAGCATTTTACTGCTGGACTGTCTATGCATTTCATTATTGGAGTATCTTAACACAAACATTTGAAAACCTCTTTTCTGAAATGCAATACACGTATCATAAATTTCACCCACTGAAAGTGTACAATTGAGTGATTTTCAGTATATTCACAAGGTTGTGCAACCATCAATGCAATGTAAGCTTAGAACATATTCATCACCCCCCAAAAAAACTTCATGCCCATTAACAGTCACTCCTCATTCCCCTACAACCTCTCCCCAGTCTAAGGCAACCACAAATCTTTTTGTGTTTATAGATTTGCCTATTCTGCACATTTCATTTAAATAGAATCATACATTATGCAGTATTTTGTGACTGGCTTCTTTCACTTGGCATGTTTTCAAGGATGTACACGGTTTTCAAGTATGTTTTCTTTCGCTTAGTGTGGATTGTACTTAATTCCTATTTATTGCCAAATAATGTTTTATTGTATGGGTAAACTGTATATTGTTTAATCTGTTCATCAGTTAATGGACATTTGGCCTGTTTCTAGTTTTTGGATATTATGAATAATGCTGCTATAATCATTCATGAACAAATTTTGGCAGGGATGTATATTTTTATTTCTCTTGGGTATATACTTGGAGTAAAATTGCTGGGGGATATGGTTACTCTATGCTTAGCATTTTGGGGAATTGTCAAACTGTTTCCACAGTGGCTGCACCATTTTACATTCCCCCCAACAGTACAAAAGCGTTCCAATTTCTCCACATCTTTGCCAACACTTGTTATTACCAATCTCTTTGATTATAGCTAGCCTAGTGGGCATGAATGGTATCTCATTATAGTTTTAATTTTTCATTTCTCTAATGACTAATGATGTTGAGCATCTTTTGTATATACGTATTGTTCATTTGCATATCTTCTTTGGAGAAATGTCTTTCAAATCTCTTACCAATCTTTCAACTGGGAAGTGTCTTTCACAGTGTACAAATTTTTAATTTTAATAAAATTTAGCATATCAATTCTTTTTTTCAACAGATTGTGCCTTTGGTGTTTATCAAAAAGTCATCATCAGACATCATCTAGATTTTCTCCTGTGTTATCTTCTAGGAGTTTTATAGTTTTGCATTTTACATTTAGGTCTGTGATCAATTCTGAGTTAATTTTTGTGACAGGTATAAGGTCTGTCTCTAGCTTCATGTTTGTTTTTTTTTTTTTAAATGAATGGCCAGTTGTGTTAGCACCATTTGTTGAAAACACTCTTTTCTTCATTGTGTTGCCTTTACTCTTTTGTCAAGGATTAGTTTCAGTCAGATTTTCTTATTTTAATGTCTAAGGGATCTGCAGTGATGTTTCATCTTTCATTTCTGATATTATAAATTTGTGTCCTCTTTGTTTGTTCTTATTCTAAGGGCTAAAGAATTTTATTGATATTTAAAAATAAACAGCTTTTGGTTTCATTGATTTTCCTTATTGATGTTCTGTTCTCAGTTTCATTGATTTCTGCTTTGATTTTATTATTTCTTTTCTTTTGCCTACTTTGGGTTTAATTTGCTGTGTTTTTCTTTTTTCTAAGGTGGAAGCTTAGATTATGGATTTCAGATTTTTATTCTTTTCTAATGTATGTATTCAGTGCTATAAATTACTAACTAAGCACTTCTTTTACCACATCTTACAAATTTTGATAAGTGGTGTTTTCATTTTCATTTTGTTCAAAGTACTTTTAAATTTCTCTTGAGACTTCTTTTTTGACCTATGTGTTATTTGGAAGTGTGTTGTTTAATCTTTAATTGTTTTGAGATTTCCTAGCTATCCTTCTTTTATTGATTTCTACTTTAATTCCATTTGGTATGGAATGAAAGCAGACATGGTATGATTTTTATTCTCTTAAATTCGTTAAGGGGTGTTTTGTGGCCCAGAATGTGGTCTATCTTGGTGAATGTTCCCTATGAATTTGAGAAGAATTAGTGTTTTGTTGTTGTTGTCTGAAGTAGTCTATAGATGTACATTATGTCTAATTGATTGGTGGTAGTGTGAATTAAACAATGTCCTTACTGATTTTTTTGCCTGCTGGATATGTCCATTTCTACTAGAGAGGTGTTGAAGTCTTCAACTATAAAAGTAAATTTATCTATTTCTCCTTGCAGCTCTATCAGTTTTTGCCTCACGTATTTTGATGCTCTTTTTTTTTTTTTGACAGAGTCTCACTCTGTCGCCCAGGCTGGAGTACAGTGGCATGATCTCGGCTCACTGCAAGCTCCGCCTCCCAGGTTCACACCATTCTCCTGCCTCAGCCTCCCTGGTAGCTGGGACTACAGGCACCTGCCACCACGTCCGGCTAGTTTTTTGTATTTTTAGTAGAGATCGGGTTTCACCACGTTAGCCAGGATGGTCTCGATCTTCTGAACTTGTGACCTGCCTGCCTCAGCCTCCCAAAGTGCTGGGATTACGGGTGTGAGCCACCGCGCCTGGCCTTTGATGCCCTTTTGTTAGGTGCAGTGACGTTAAGGATTGTTATAATTTCTTAGAGAGTTGACTCCTTTATCATTTTGTAATGTCTCTTCTTCATCTCTGATAACTTTCCTTGCTCTGGAGTCTGCTCTGTCTGAAATTAATTTAGCTACTCCCACCTTCTTTTGATTGATGTTAGCATGGTGTATGTTTTTCCATCCCTTTAGTTTTAATCTATATGTGTCTTTATACTTAAAAAGAGTTTCTTGTACATAACTTATAGTTGAGTCTTGTTTTTCTCACTCTGATAATCTCTGTCTTTTAATTGATATATTCAGACCATTAATGTTTGATGTGATTATTGATATAGTTGGGTTAATATCTACCATATTTGTTACTGTTTTCCGTTTATTGCCATTATTCTTTGTTCCTATATTTGTCTTCCACTCTTTTCCTTCTTTTTGTGGTTTTAATTGAACATTTTATAATTCTGTTTTCTTTCTTTTTAAAACAATGTCAGACAATTGACTTTGTGGACTTGGGGGAAAGAGTGGGAGGGGGGTGAGGGATAAAAGTCTACAAATAGGGTGCAGTGTATAGTGCTTGGGTGACGGGTGCACCAAAATCTCACAAATCACCACTAAAGGACTTACTCATGTAACCAAACACGAATAACCTATGGAAAAAAAAAGAATATGTTATACTTCTTTTTTTAAACTTATTTCTTCTTTTACATTTTTAAGTTGTTATCCTAGAGTTTTCCATATACATTTACAACTAATCCAATTCTCTTTCAAATGTCATGATACCACTTTATGAGAATTACAAATACTTTATAACAAAATTATCCCAATTCCTTCCTCCCATTCCTTGTGACATTGCTGTCATTTGTTTCACTTATACATAATCAAATCCATTATTACTGTTATTATTTAGAGCAAACTGTTATCTGTTCGATCAATTAAGACTAAGAAAAATAAAAGTTTTGTTTTGCTTTTACTTATTTCCTCTCTAATATTCTTCCTTTCTTTATGTAGATCCAAATTTCCGAATTATATTATTGTCCTTCTCTTTAAAGAACTTCTTTAAACATTTCTTGTAAGGCAGGTCTACTGACAATAGAGTCCCTCCATTTTTAAATTGCTTTTCAGGTTTTGTATCTCCATCATAAAATCATGAAATTTTTTTTTTTTTTTGAGACAAAGTCTTGCTGTGTCACCCAGGCTGGAATGCAGTGGCACAATCTCAGCTCACTGCAACCTCTGCCTCCTGGGTTCAAGCGATTCTCATGCCTCAGTCACTCGAGTAGCTGGGATTACAGGCATGCGTCACCATGCCTGGCTAATTTTTGTACTTTCAGTAAAGAGGGGGTTTTGCCATATGGCCCAGGCTGGTCTTGAACTCCTGGCCTCAAATGATCTGCCTGCCTTGGCCTCCCAAAGTGCTGGGATTATAGGCATGAGCCACCATACCTGGCCTGGATAAAGTCTTTATTTTTCTTTCACTTTTGAAAGATAATTTCATCAGGTACAGAATTCTAGGTTCTTTCTCTCAACGCCACCTAATAAAGGTGCCTCCTGCCCCCCACCCCACTTTGGCTTCTTTTAGAATTTATTCTTTGTCTTTGATTGTCTGTAGTTTGAATATGATATGCCTAGGTGTTTTTTTTTTTTTTTTTTTTTTTTGGCATTTATCCTGCTTGGTATTCTTTGAGTTTTCTGGATCTGTGGTTTGTTATCTGACTTTAATTTTGGGGAAAGTTATCAATTATTCTTGTTTTAAATATTTCTTCTGTTCCTTTCTTACTCCTCCTTCCTATATTCCCACTATGTGTATTTACACCTTTTGTAGTTGTCACATCGTTCCATTCTATTTTTTTTTTTTTTTGTATTTTTTCTCCATGCTTTTCAGTTTGGGAGATTTTTATTGTGCTATTCTCAGGCTCAGAGCATCTTTCCTCATCTGTATCCTGTCTACTAATAAGCCCATCAAAGGCGCTCTATATCTGTCACAGTGTTTTTGATATCTAGCATTTCTTTATTGCTTTTTCTTAGAATTTTCATCAGTCTGTTCACATTGCCCATCTGTTCTTGTATGCTGTCTACTTCACTAATTAGAGCCCTTAGAATATTAACTGTATTTGTTTTAGATTCCCAGTCTGATCATTTCAACATCCTTGCCATACTCGAGTGTGGTTCTGTCTCTTCAAACTGTGTTGTCTTTTAATATGCCTTGTAATTTTCTCTTGATAGCTAGATGTGGTGTGGTATATATAGGGAACTTCTGTATATAGGCCTTTGTTAATATGGTAAGTTGTGGAGAAGGGAAGCATTCTATAGTCCTATAATAGGTCTCAATCTTTATTGCCTGGGCCTCTGGACTTGACAAATACCTCTCAATTCCTCTCTCTCCCTCTTAAATGGCACAGAATTGCTAGAGTAGGCTTGAGCTGGGCATTTTTCATCTTCCATATCAAAGGTTAGAGTTGCTGGAGTTGAGTATTTCTCTTCCCATAAGTCAGTTAGGGTCTAATCAAACCCCAAAAGATTAGACTCTGGTTAATAGTTTCTCCTGAGAACACATCTAAGAAGAGAATATTCTGGCATGTTTAAAAATGGTTCATTTTCCCCTCACCTTTCTGAAAGTGGGAGAGAAATTTTCTCTAATATTCACTTTGAGAATCAGGTCAAGCTATTGGTCGCAAAAGTGTGCCCCCCCCCGCCACCCCACTGCTTGGTGCCCCCTGGGATTTTAAACTCTCAGACTTGTCCACATTAAGCAACCAGTTCAGGCATTTTTATCTTGGCACTGGTTCCTTTGGTGGTTTTTGCTTATGGTTTTCTGCTCTGGTAAGTTGTGATTCTTTGTTTTTCCCTGTCTGTCTTTTCAATTTTGGGGGAAGCAATTTGCCCTGTGACCTCACTTCTGTTAAAGAAGTCTAAGAAAAGTTGTTGATTTTTTTAGTTTGTTTAGTTTTTAACTTATTGTTAGGGGAGAGTGGTTACTTCCAAGTTTCTTACAGGCCAGACCAGAAATTGGAAGCCCATACCATTGATTTTGGTATATTGGTCTTACATTTTTTCACTTTGCTGAACTCATTTATTAGTTCTAATTCATGGGGTGTGTGTGTGTGTGTGTGTGTGTGTGTGTGTCTGTGTGTGTGTGTGTCTGTGTGTTACTTAGCATTTTCAATATACAAGACCATCTGTATAGTTTTACTTTTCCCTGTTCAATCTGGATGTCTTTATTTCTTTTTCTTGCCAAATTGTCCTGGCTAGAATTTATACAACAATGTTGAACAGAAGTTATGAAAGTAGCTGTTCGTATTCTGTTCCTGATCTTCCCTTAGGGAGAAAGCATTCAGTCTTTCATCTTTAAATATGATGTTAGCTGTGAGTTTCTTGTAGATGTGACTTAGTAGGTTGAGGAAGTTTCCTTTCTATTTCTAGTTTGTTGAGTGTTTTCTTTTTATTATGAAAAGTGTTGGGCTTTCTCAATGCTTTGTCTCTGTCTATAAGGATAATCATGTGGTTTTGTTCTTCATCCTATTAATACAATGTTGCATTAATTGATTTTTAGATGTCAAGCCAACCTTGTCTTCCTGAGATACATTTCACTCTGCTATGGCTTATAATTCTTTTTATATGTTGCTGGATGTGATTTGTTTGCATTTTGTTGAGGATTTTTGCATCAATATTCATAATGGATATTGGTCTATAGTTTTCTTGTGATGATTTTGGTATCAGAGTAAAACTGGCCTTGTAGGATGAATTTGAAAATATTTCCTCTGCTTTAGTTTTTATTTTTAAAATGTACTTTATTTTATTATTTTATAGAGATGGGTCTTTCTCTGTCACCCAGGCTGGAGTACAGTGGTGTGATCATAGATCACTGTAACCTCAAACTCTGGGGCTCAAGAGATCCTCCTGCTCAGCCACCCAAATAGCTAGGATCACAGGCATGCAATGCTATGCCTGGCTAATTACAAAAAAATTATTTTTGTAGAGGCAGGGTCTTGCTATGTTGCCCAGGCTGGTCTTGAACTCCTGACCTCAACTGATCTTCCCCAACCTTGAATCCTTTCCAATTTTTATATTAATTATTTCCTAAATATTTGGTAGAATTCATCACTGAAGTCATGTGCTTTGAGATTTACTTTGTGGAATGTTTTAAATTATTAATTTAATCACCTGAATTATCAGATTTTTTATTTCTTAAGTTGTTTTTTAGCAGTTTGTATCTTTCTAGGAAATAGCTATTTCATCAAGGTTGTGGAATTTTTGGATATAAACAGTTGTTCCTAATTTTCTCTTATAATCTTTTTCATTTCTGTGAGGTCGGTTACAATGTGTCCTCTTTCATTCTGATTTTTGTAATTTGAGTTTCTTTCTTTTTGTTTTTTTGTTTTTTTTTGGTCGATTTAGCTAGAGATTTGCCAATTTTGTTCTCTTTCAAGGAACCACCTTTTTGTTGCTTTGATTTTCTCTGTTTTTCTGTAATCTCTCCCACTTATTTTCACTATAAACTTCATTATTTTTTCCTTCTGCTTGCTTTGGGTTTTATTTTCTCTTAATTTTGTGTTTCTTATAATGAAAGACTAGGATATTTATTTGAGATGAGTTTTAGTAGTGGCATTTATTGCTACAAATTTTTCTCTGAGCACTACTTTACCTGCATCTTATAAGTTTTGGTATGTCATAGTTTCATTTTTGTTCATCTTGAAGTATTTTCTGATTTTCTTTGTGATTTCTTCTTTGACCCATTGTTTATTTAAGAGTGTGCTGTTTAATTTTCACATTAGCAAATTTCCCAAATGTTCTTCTGTTATGGCTTTCTAATATTATTTCATTATAGTTAGAGAACATATTTTGGATGATTTTAATCTTTTTAACTTTATTGAAAAAAAATTTTTTTTTTTTTGAGATAGAGTCTCGCTCTGTCACCCAGGCTGGAGTGCAGTGGCACGATCTCGGCTCACTGCAAGCTCTGCCTCCTGGGTTCATGCCATTCTCCTGCCTCAGCCTCCTGAGTTGCTGGGACTACAGGTGCCCACCATCATGCCTGGCTAATTTTTTTTTGTATTTTTAGTAGAGATGAGGTTTCACCATGTTAGCCAGGATGGTCTCGATTTCCTGACCTCGTGATCTGCCCACCTCGGCCTCCCAAAGTGCTGGGATTACAGGCTTGAGCCACCGTGCCTGGCCTATTATTTCTAATAATGCAGGTCTGCTATCCATGAACTCTTTCAGCTTTTGTTTATCTGGGAATGTCTTTCTTTTACTTTTGTTTTTGAAACATATTTTTGCTAGATATAAAATTATTAGTTGACAGGTTTTTTTTTTTTCCAGGAGTTTCAATATGTCATCTTACTGCCTTCTTGCCTTCATTGTTTCTAATGAGAAATAAGCTGTTAATCTCATTGAAAGTCCTTTGTATGTGATGAATTGGTTTTCTTTTAGTGTTTTTGAGTTTTTCTTTTGTATTTGGTTTTCAATATTTTGACTATGATGTATCTGAGTATGGATCTCTCTCTGTTTATCCTACATGTAGTTCATTTTGGATGTGTAGATTAATGTCTTTCACCAAATTTGGGAAGTATTCAGCCATTATTTCTCTGAACATTTTTTTCTTCTCTTTTCTTTTTACTCTCCGTCTGGTACTCCATTACTCCCCTTCTGGTACTTCATTACTCCTGTTACACATATGTGGGGGTACTTAATGGTGTACTACATTTTTCTGAGTCTCTGTTCACTTTTCATTCTTTTTCCTCTCTTCTCCAGATTGCATAGTGTCTATTGATCTACCTTCAAGTTCACTGATTCTTTATTTTGTCAGCTCAAATCTACTGTTGAGTCCCTCTAGTGAATTTTTCATTTTGGCCATTTTCACCTCTAGAATTTCCATTTGGTTCTTTAAAAATTTCTGGGCCAGGCACGGTGGCTCATGCCTGTAACCCCAGCACCTTGGGAGGTGGAGGTGGGTAGATCACAAGGTCAGGAGATCGAGACTCTCCTGGCCAACATGGTGAAACCCCGTCTCTACTAAAAATACAAAAATTAGCCGGGCATGGTGATGGGCACCTGTAATCCCAGCTACTTGGGAGGCTGAGGCAGGAGAATTGCTTGAACCCAGGAGGTGGAGGTTGCAGTGAGCTGAGATCACGCCATTGCACTCCAGCCTGGTGACAGAGCCAGACTCTGTTAAAAAAAAAAAATTCTGATTTTAATTGATGTTTTCTATTTAATGAGAATTTTTTCAATCATAATTTCCTTAGTTCTTTAAATATAGCTTTCTTTAGTTGTTTGAACATGTTTATAATAGCTACTTTGAAGTCTTTGTTTGCTATGTTCATCATCTGGGTTTTTTAAAAGGTAATTTCTATTTTTTGCTGCTTTCTTCCCTAGGTATAAGGTTAAGGTCATGCTTTCCTGTTTCTTGGCATAGCTCATAATTTTTTGTTGAAAAATGAACATTTTAGAAAATATGTTGTAGCAGCTCTGGATACTGATTTCCTTTTCTCCTTGCCCTGGGGTTGATGTTACCGTTGTTGCTTGCTTGGCAATTTGTTTCTTTGTTTGGTAACTTTGCTAAGCTAACTTTGTTAAGTCTATTTTCCTTGCATTGTGCAGCCTCTCATGTTTCTGTTCTGATTTGCATTTC
The DNA here is from genome assembly GCF_000001405.40 of Homo sapiens. Classification (NCBI taxonomy): domain Eukaryota; kingdom Metazoa; phylum Chordata; class Mammalia; order Primates; family Hominidae; genus Homo; species Homo sapiens. Next base: position 4,353,655 of record NC_000020.11, read on the forward strand.
TTGTTTTTATTTTTTAGTCTGGCTACCTAGGAATCACCCTTGAATCCACAGGTGGTACTTATTGGTCAGATGTTGTGTTTACGTTACTTTAGCCTGATAGATGCTTACCTCCTCTCCCTTTTGTGGGGGCTGTGTGTTGGGGGCTTAGAGGTTGCTATTACAGTCCCGGGAGTTTATGTTTTGGCCCCACATTCAGCCAGGGACTAGCTTGGAGGTTCCTTTTCCAATCACTCCTGAAAGGGCGTAGTCCTGGGCTTACATGCATTTTTCCAGACTTACATGCATTTTTCCAGGGACCTGTGTGGATTTATTTTTAAGCCCAGTTTTCTAAGAGTTCCCCTGGGTTATAGTAGCTTATTGTTTAGCCAGTGTTTTATCAGAGGTTGTGTTTAAACTCCTTGTGTGTATGAGGCCTATGTTCTTTGTTGATAAATCTGTGTTTTGCGTGGGGAATGCTTACAAGTCTGGCCCATCTCCAGTTTGATTGCTCCTAAGCGTGCATAGTGCATGTGCACAATCTTCTTGATCCTCAGGGATTGCTATGATCCCAAGAGGGTTCTTCTGGGCTATCTTTCATGCTGTTTGTTTCTGTCAAACTTCTGGACATTCTGCCATTTCACTGATACTGTTGCTACCATAATCATAGAGATACCAGCACCCTCTCGATTACCCTTCACCAACATCTCCTTGTTTTCAATAACACCCTTAGGCATGGACTTTTCCACATTCAGTTCCAAAAAGAGTCAGTTTCGTCAGACAATGTTGTAGAGTTCTTCATCCTTATGACCTATCACTTCCCCTGGGAAGAATATCTGCACAACTGCACAGGACCTGGAGTTGGGGCAGTGGACTGTTTCTCCCTTCCTCTGCAAGCAAGTATTGGAAGGAGTGGTAACCTCTTCTCAGCCTTTCTCTACAAGCATGAAACCTCTATTTGATGAATGAGCTGGGGCCGAGATGATTGGAGCCTCAGTATGCTCAGCCTGCTACATCTAGGCTAGGGCTTCCACCATATGATAGGGGTTCAGTAGGCGCAGGGGTCCTCAGACCTTTTATCCATACCTACTCAGAATAGAGCTTCTGCAACATAGGGCTGGAAGGGCATGAGAAACACTGGAGCCCTGCCCCTCTCAAGGGTGAAAGTGTAGCCCTAGGCTGGAAACTGGGGGAAAACGAAGCCTCTGTCTTCATGGCCGAAATACCACAGACTCTTGCCATCCTTGCTGAAATTTAGTAGACTTTCTTGAATGAGTATTTCTCCATCTTGTGTATGCCCTTAGAACAATTCTAGAGACTATAAGTGATGTTTTCAAAACATCATTTTTGCCACTTAAATTCTTGTTTTTCTGTGGAAAGAATATGCCAACCTATTCACTTTCATATTCTTGAGGTCCCCAAGATCAAGTGTCTTATTATCATTTAATCTCAATGCAAGAACGACCATGAAATACTTGACTCTTTTTCTTTTTTGTATCCAACTGTCCAAGAAATCCTGTTAGTGCTACGTTGGAAATTTGTCTAGTATTCAACCCCTTCTCACCTGCTCCACTGCTGTCACCTGGTCAGAGCCACTATCTCCTCTCACTTGCAAGAGCCTCTTCCTTGGTATTCTTGTTTCCACCCTTTCTCTCCTGCTTTCTGTTCTTGACACAGCAGCCACACAGTGATCCTATAAAAGCACAAGTCGTAAATCCATTCCTCTAGACGGTCCCTGATGTAGTTTGGATATTTGTCCCTGCCCAAATTGAATTGTAATCCCCAGTGCTGGAGGTGGGGTCTGGTGGGAGGTGTTTGGGTCATATGGTCAGATCTTTCATGGCGTGGTGTTGTCTTTGCAATAGTGAGTGAGTTCTCATGAGATCTGATCATTTAAAAGTGTGTGGCACCTCCCCAACCCCTTGCTCCTGCTCTAGCCATGTGATGTGCCTGCTCCCACTTCATATTCTGCCATGAGTAAAAGCTTCCTGAGGCTTCCCCAAAAGCAGATGCTGGTCCTATGCTTCCTGTACAGCCTACGGAGATGGGAGCCAATTAAACCTCTTTTCTTATAAATTACCCAGTCTCAGGTATTTCTTTATAGCAATGCAAGAGTAGCCTGTTACAGTCCCCTTTTTAACTGGCCCTGCATTACCTACCTGAGCTCCCTACCGTTTTTTTTCACTCCACTCCAGCCAATCTATTCTTCATTAAACAGACCAAGCCCACCTGTAACTCAGGGCTTTTGCAATGATTGTGCCCTGTGCATGGGATACATTTCTCCAATTATCTACGCTGATAACTCTTCACTCCAAGTCATTGCTTAAGGCACCCTTCCTGAAGAGATCTATCCTCACCCCCCTTTATAAGTGCAACATGCCCCCTTCCTCCCAGTGCTCCTTATCCCACCTTCCTGCTCTACTTTTTCTCTTTTCCATGATGCTTATCACCTTCAAAACTACGACTTGTTTATTATGATGATTGTTTCTTGTCTACCTGTCCCCATTGGAATATGAGCTGCATGAGGGCAGAAATGTTCGTGTTTTTGGTTCACTGTTGCATCTTTAGCATTCAGAACAATACCTGGAACAAAGTAGATGCTCATTAAATATTTGTTGAACAAATTAATCATTCATTCACATCCTCTGATTAGTTATGTGGACAGCATGCTGGATGTAATTTGGGAAATAAATAATATAGATGAATGAATTTCAGGCCTTGGGTTCAGAATAATCTTGAGGCTTAATTAATGTACTCTTCTGACACCTTTCAGACTCTTGTTGGGGAAAATGAAAATTGCTCACTTGTGTTCCCAGGAAGATACAAAAGGCAAAAATGTAGTATTGCAGTCTCATGAACATGAGTGTGAGACTTCTTTATCAGACTACAAACCTCCTCTTGACCAGAAGTTTGATAATTTAAGTCAATATGTTAAGAAACTAAAAGCTAGAGGTCTTTGTGGGGTAGTGATATGGCTGTCCCACTTATGATGGGTCCCTTCCTTCTGCTTCACCTCCAGTTTTGTTCTGCTCCTTTATTTACTCTGTCTCAGGTGAGGTGGAATGATGTAGCTGGCTGCTAAATTTGGGAAGAATAAACTGAACCTGCCAAGCTCAGCAACTTGAGTTTTCCTCTAGGAGATAGCCTACTTGCAGGTGTCAGTTCTCCTCTGCCATTTTGGGCCATAAGTCTTACCCCATCTCTCTATCCAGATGGGGAGAACTGTCCCAGTCAACCTGGAATGGGTAAATCTGCCTTCTCTTGTGATTCAATTAACAGGCCTATTTCATAATAAACTATGCTCTCCATTAATTTAGCCTTTATAATAAGAAGGGTGAAATTTAGGCCCCCAAATGCCACTCCTTTTTCTTAATTCCCAAATCATTGAGAAGTCAGGAAGGGGAGAAGCGTGCAATGGTGAACCTCTTGAGAGACCTTTAGTATTTTGCTTTCATTATATTGATGAGAACGGGTTTACCTGGCCACTTGGCTGCAATGGAAGATGAGAGAGCCCTTATTTGGCATTTACACCCTCTATATTGGAAGACAGCAGGGGAGGAGAGGTTTGGGTTGGCAGCTGAGTTAGATGTGCCTATCACAGAAGTCATCAAGATTTCTTGCTCCTTAAACCACTGGCACAAGCATCACCTGGAGCTTTTTAGAAATGCAGATTATAGGTGCTACTCCAGACCTATTGAATCAGAGACTGCTGTTTAACAAGATCCCCAGGTGAGTTGTGTGTACATTAATGTTTCAGAGGCACTTCCTAGATCAGAGATCTGCAAACTACAGCCTGTGGGCCAAATCCAGGCTGTGTTTGTAAAGCTTTGTTGGAACACAGCATGTTTATGTGTTTATGAATTGTCAGTGGCTGTGTTTGCACTATGTAGTGGTTAATATTGAGTGTGAATTTGATTGGACTGAAGGATGCGAAGTATTGTTCCTGGGTGTGTCTGTGAGGATGTTGCCAAAGAAGATTAACATTTGAGTCAGTGGACTGGGAGAGGCAGACCCACCCTCAATTTTGGGTGGGCACCATCTAATCAGCTGCTGGAGTGACCAGAATAAAAAGCAGACAGAAGAACGTGGAAAGACTAGACTGGCTGAGTCTTCTGGCCTCCGTCTTTCTCCCGTGCTGGTTGCTTACTGCCCTCGAACATCGGGCTCCAAGTTCTTCGGCTTTGGGACTCTGGGACCTTTGACCACAGACTGAAGGCCGCACTGTCGGCTTCCCTACTTTTGAGGTGTTGGGACTCATATTGGCTTCCTTGCTCCTCAGCTTGCAGACGGCCTACTGTGGAACCTCACGCCTTGTGATCATGTGAGTCAATACTCCTTAATAAACTCCCCTTTATATATACATCTATCCTGTTAGTTCTGTCCCTCTAGAGAACCCTTACTAATACACACTGCAATGACAGAGTTGAGTAGTTGTGGCAGAGAACATATGGCCTGCAAAGCCTCAAGTATTTACTATCTGACCCCTTACAGAAAAAGTCTCATTGTTCATGTCAAGTTGAGAGCTGAAAGTGTGGCTTGGTTGACAATGCTGGGGAGACACTTGAGAAAGAAAAAGGTGTCTTTTTCTCCAGAATGAGAAAAATATGAGAGTATTGAGGGGTAAAAGGTAAGAGCTGGTACAGAGGGAGACGCTGATGGAAAGAAAGGCAGGGTGAGTTTCTGGTGGCGGGTGGGGCAGAATGCAGTCAAGGATGCAGGTTAGAGCTAGTAGCAAGGATGGGGGTAGGTGGAGGTTGAGTGAGGATGAAGGTAACTGTTCAGGTGAAAAGAGGGGAGTTGACAGACTCCTGGCTGGGTGAGAATCTCCCACAATGCTTAGCACATAACCTAACATAAGGTAGGCACCAGTCAATGTTTTTGAATTGAAAAAGGTGATTTGAAATAAGCTGTGGTTTCCCATTGAGTACTTTGCTTTCAAACTCCAGGACTGTGTACTTTTGCACAAGCCCTGTGGTACAGGAAGGAGCTGGCCTGCTTTGTCTTATTCTTATTCTCACTTCACAGCTGGGAAATGGTGGCCAAGGGAGGATAAGTAACTATCCCTGGGTCACCAAGCCAAGTGGCCGTTTGCAGCTGGGGCTAGAACCCAAGACTCTCCGCCCAAGACCTTTCTCCGGGAAGGCTGCATGAGAACCGCTGAGACTGGGCTTAGGGGATTAGGGAAGGACTTCCCTCCAGGAGGGCTTGCCGTTAGTTTATGTTGGCTGCAAGGAACTCCAGTTATCTTTGTCAACAAATCAAAACACAAATTTGAGGATTTTAGAGGAGGCCTCTGATTTTGCGATACCTGTGCCCAAAAGTGAGGATTGCATTTCTGTACCAGACCGAGCTCTTGTTGGAATGTGAGGTGAAGTGGGAGCCAGAAGGGGAGAGGGTGGGAATTTTGGCCAAATGCCTGAGCCTCAGCAGGCGGTGGGGGTGGGGCGGGAGGGCCGGAGGACCAGAGTGGACAGAAGAAGAAGATGCCAGAGGCAGTCTTTGTGGCCTTTCTTGTTTCTGGGGGCTTGCCCTTCTCCCTGCTCCATTCTCCCAAACATCCTCTTTCTTCACTGTTTCCCCAGCTGCCTGAGCCCTGCTCCCCAGGGTCTCCCTGTGGCCTAGGCTCCTGTGCATGCTCTCACTGCCTTAATTCCTGTTCCCAGGCCCTGTGCAAACTTCTCCGGGCTGTGTTGCAGCCCCTCAGGAACATTTCCTAAAACATTCATCCATGCTGACTTTTGACAGAACCTTGGAAACCCCTTATCCCATGGGCAACAGCAACCCGGATGTTCAGGGGAGTCAGGGTTCCCCAGAGTAACCCTTGACCAGCAGGGATCAGAAACTGAAAGCGTAGTGCTCCTACCTCCTGTCCTTTGGGCGGACAGTCTGGGAGATTTCTGCATGTGTGTCAGGGTCCTGGTGGGAGGGAGTCTCATTCCCTCAAGATCAACCTCAACACTAGGACACAAATTTATGTGGCTTTTCTTTCTTCCCAAACCCATCCTCCTTCTTCCCAAGTCCTGCTTCCTGGGATCCCCTCCAAAATAAACCACCTGCACCCAAGCTTGTTCAGGCTCTGCTTTTTTGGTTGAGTTGTATTTTTTAGATGGACAACTCTATGCCTGTAAATCAGAACGTTTTTGTCTCTTTTCTTCCAATATTCATACGTCTTATTTTTTCTTATTTTATTCATTGCCTAGGACTAATTTTTGAAAAATATATCCCTGGAAGTTGGCATCTTGGTCTTGTTCCTGACTTTTATGTGACTAATTCTAATGTTTTACCTTTCAGTATGATGCTTGCTTCAGGTTTCTTGTAGAAACTTTTTTCTTTTTTAAATTAAGGAAGCATTTTCCTACTATTAGCTTACCACAGTTTGCCAGTAGTTATATGACAGTGTTTTAAGCCATGCAGGCGTTGAATTTTACCAAATGTGTTTTCATTGCATCAACTATTGCCACTGTAATATTGTGTAATGACCACTTCTGTACTTGTCCATTCTCACATTACTATAAAATAGTGGAGACTGGGTAATTTATCAAGAAAAGAGGCTTAATTGGGTACAGAAAGCATGGCAGGGTCTACTAGGCTTCTGTGGAGGCCTCAGAGAACTTACAATCATGGTGGAAGGTGAAGTGGGAGTGAGTCACTTCACATGGCCAGACCAGGAGGGAGAGCGATGGGGAGGTACCACACACTTGAAAACAACCAGAACTCATGAGAACTCTATCAGGAGAACAGCATTATGGGGAACAGCATTAGAAACCAAGCCCATGATCCAATCACCTCCCACCAGGCCCCACCTTCAACACTGGGGATTACAATTCGACATGATATTTGGGCAGGGACACAGATGCAAACCATATCGCCTACATTCAGGTTTGATACAATAATTATTTTTCTCACTCATACTTTTGTAGTGTGGCTAGGTTTGGCTAATCTAGCTTGATTCTAAGTTTAGGTTGAATCTAGGGCTGTTTCAAATGTCTCATCTTCCTTGGACCAGTGGTCGAGATGGGGTGTGATAGCAGAAGTACAAGAGGGAACAAGTGGAAGCAAACGATATCCCACGAAGCCAAGGCTTGGAACTGGCACACTGACACTCTTAGTTCCAATTTCCACAGGCTAAAGCAAGTTCCATGGCTAAGCCCAACAGCAGTGAAATTGGGGGAGGTTACTCTGCTTCTGTTGGAAGAAACTCAAAGGATGTAGCAAAAAGGGTGGAAGGGGTGAGAATGAAAAACTGGGAAGAAAGCAATTGATCACGTGCATCTACTGAGATATCTATAGATATTCTCTCCTACTCTTAGTATATTATATAATTACATTAATAGATTTCCAACCGTTGAAACATCATTGCATGCCTGGAGTAATCCCTGCTTATCTGAATCAATTATTAACATTAAATGGCTGGTTTTAATTTTCTAAAATGGTTCCTGTGATTAATAGGCTTCCACTGGTGATTGTGGGTTAAGGCAGATTGGACTCATTTCTGTGTGGAATCTGCCAAAGTTTGTTTCATGAGAGTGGGCCTCTCCCCTTCCTCTGAGGAGTCAGTAGCCACCTGGGCCTTTGTGTTTCTCTGGCTCTCGTGTGCAATTTCCTGCTTTGGTTCAGGTGTAGTTGCCTTTTCCTGGTACTTGGCACAGACAGGGGAAAAGGAGGGTCCAAATGCTAAGTGGTTCTGTCTACAGTCCCCTGATATGGGTTGAACTGTGTTCCCCCCATGATGGTTAATATTGACTGTCAACTTGATTGGATTGAAGGATGCAAAGTATTGTTTCTGGGTGTGTCTGAGGGTGTTTCCAGAGGAGATTAACGTTTGAGTCAGTGGACTGGAAGAGGCAGACCCACTCTCACTCAGTGTAGGTGGGCACCGTCTAATCAACCACCAGCATGGCTAGAATAAAGCAAGCAGAAGAGGTGGGAAAAACGGACTTACTGAGTCTTCCAGCCTTCATCCCTCTCCTGTGCTGGATGCTTCCTGCCCTCAAACATCAGACTCCAACTTCTTCAGCTTTTGGACTCTGGGACTTATGCCAGTGGTTTGCCAGGGGCTCTTGGGCCTTCGGCCACAGACTGAAGGCTGCACTGTTGGCTTCCCTACTTTTGAGGTTTTAGGACTCAAACTGGCTTCCTTGCACCTCAGCTTGCAGATGGCCTATTGTGGGACTTTACCTTGTGATCGTGTGAGTCAATTCTCTTAATAAACTCCCCTTCATATATACCTCTATCCTAGCAGTCCTATTCCACAGAGAACCCTGATTAATACACTCCCTAATTCATATGTTGAAATCCTAACCTTCGGTACCTTGGAATATCACCTGATTTGGAAATAGGGTCTTTGCAGATACAATCAAATTATGACGAGGTCATTAGGGTTGGCCCTAATGCAATATGTCTGATGTCCTTATAGAAAGGGGAAATTTGGATATAGATACACACATGGAGAATACCAAGTGAAGATAAAGATGTGGGCAATGCTTTTACAAGCCAAGGAGGGCCAAAGGTTGCTGGCAAAACACCAGAAGCCAGGGGAGAAACATGGAACAGATTCTTCCTCACAGCCCTCAGATGGAACCAACCCTGCTGATACTTTGATCTTGAACCTCTAGCTTCCAGAACTGAGAGATGAAAAATTTCTGTGGTTTAAGCCCCCCCAGGTTATGCTACATTGTTACAGCAGCACTAGCAAGCAAATTCGCCTTCCCTGCCAAATATGACCCATCCCCCAAATACGACCTGTCCCCCAAATACGACCTGTCCCCCAAATACGACCTGTCCCCCAAATATGACCTGCCCCCCAATAACTGGCAAATTCTTCCGGACCCTCAGAACCCTCACTCACTCCTTTTGTCTGTTAATCTCAGCCTGGCGGTCCCTAGAACTTCTACTTCTCTAGCAGTTTTTCCCCTGCTTGTGTTTTTGATATTTCTTCCCATCTTTTTTCTTTGTAGATTTGATACCATTATCAACTTTCTAGTCAATGTTTTATGCAAATGATGTCAGTCTCATTTTCCAGAATACTATAGACTCATTCAACCTTGCATACATGGTCATTTTTTGCAGTTTGAGGCCATCTACTTCCCTGAATCAATTTTGGCACAGACATTATAAACTCCATTTTATGTATGAAAACAATGATGCCAGATAGGGTAAGTTACTTGTCTCTGATTATGCAGTCATGGGACAGGAGACACCTCAATTCTTAAAAATTTTGTATAAATTTATGAGGATACAGTGCAATTTTGTTGCAGGCATAGATTGCATAGTGGTCAAGTCAGGGCGCTTAGGGTATCCATCACCTGAAAAACACCCGTTAGGTAATTTCTCAATATCTCTTCCCTTAACCCCTCACCCTTCCAAGTCTCCATTTGCTATCATTCCACTCTGTCTGTCCATGCATACACATTTGTTTTTTAGTACTCACTTATGAGTCAGAACATGTGATATGTGACTTTCTGGTTCTGGCTTATTTTACTTAAGATAATGACATCCAGTTTTCATCCATGTTGCTGGAAAATATATAATTTCATTTTTTTTTAAAATTTTTGAGACAGGGTCTTGTTCTGTCACCCAGGATGGAATGCAGTGTTGTGACTTTGACTCACTGCAGCCTCAACCCCCTGGGCTCAATTGATCCTCCCACGTCAGCCTCTCAAGTAGCTGGGACTACAGGTGCATACCATCATATCTGGGTAATTTTGTAGAGATTAGGTCTCACTATGTTTCCCAGGCTGGTCTTGAACTCCTGGGTTCAAGTGATCCTCCCACCTTGGCCTCCCAGAGTGCTGGGATTACAGTGTGAGCCACTCTGCCTGGTCAATTTCAGTCTCTTTTTATGGCTGAATAGTATTGCATTGTGTATATATACCACATTATCTTTATTCAATCATCCATTGATAGACACTTAGGTCAGACACCTGAATTCTTAAGACAATGTGTGTTTCACAGCAGGAGTGGCAGGAAGATTTTGTCTGGCATGATATTCTAGCAGATGAGCAGAGTCTGCTTAAAGCACTGTACTGAGAAGGGTTCTGAGGCCTCATCCACGGTCAGTGCTGTCATCAATTACAGATGTCTGCCACAGGCAAGGGAGGGAGAAGTGGCAGGGGTCTACTTGGTCTACACTAGGTTTTGCTATTATTCCTCAGAATTTTGGCTCATGCTCTTGAGACGTCATGGTGCTTGCAGACTATGTGGAAGGAGTCTGTGGGAATAAGATCAGTCACTGTGGCTGGCTGTGCTTTAATAATTAGCTTTCCTTTTAGGCCCAATCAAGATTTGCATTTTAACATAAACTTACAAGTAGCGAGAGAACTTAGTCCTCACCTATCTATAATCCCTCCCCATCTTCTTCACTTCTCTTCTTTCCAGTTTTTCCAACAGATTTTCAGGCAACACCATAGCAGACCAATACTGTCTACTGGGTGGGATTTGGGGCCATAAAACTGTCTACTGGGTGTGATTTGGGGCCATAACACTTTTAATTGGCTTGAAGATCTCTTGAGGGATGGGAAGAAGGATGGGTTTCAAAGTGAGACTACTCAGGGCTCAAATTCCAGCCTTGCCAATGACTTGCTGGGTGAACTTGAACTGCTATCTTTGATCCCAGTTGTTTTCTATACATGGGGGTAACCATTCCTATTTGTAGACTTGCAGTGATAACTAAACAACATGATGGGGACAAAGAACATGAGGTAGGGTATTCATTCATTTGTGCATTCATTCATTAATTCAGAACAGTTTGCAGAGGGTCTGCTATGTGTTAGGCTCTGGGAGTCCAAAGGTAAATAACACATGACTTCCCATGATGTTCTCAAAGCCTGGTGGGGGACACAAACACCCCACCACAAATTCCTTTCTTTTTTTTTTTTGAGATGGAGTCTCACTCTGTCGCCCAGGCTGGAGTGCAGTGGCATGATCTCGGCTCACTGCAATCTCCGCCACCCGGATTCACCCCATTCTCCTGCCTCAGCCTCCCGAGTAGCTGGGACTACAGGTGCCTGCCACCACGCCCGGCTAATTTTTTGTATTTTTAGTGGAGACGGGGTTTCACTGTCTCAGCCAGGATGGTCTTGATCTCCTGACCTCGTGATCTGCCCTCCTCGGCCTCCCAAAGTGGTGGGATTACAGGCGTGAGCCACTGCGCCCGGCCCACCCCACCACAAATTCTAAGAGTCATGTGTCAAGGTCGTGGGCAAAGGGGTGCACATGATGCTTCCCCACATGGGGAAAGGGGTGGTCATGGGGAACTTCCCTAAAGAGAAATCTCCAAAGCTAAAATTTGAAAGACAAAGGAGATGCTTTCAGGAGGTGACAGGAGAGGAGTAGTCACCAAAGCTGCAACAGAAGTTTTCTCTTCACTATGTAGCAATGGTGTCTCATGGGCAATGCTAATCTTCTGCTCTGCATAATTTCTGGGGACTCAGAATTTCAGGCATCCCGGAGGGATCCTCTGAGACATAACCCTTCTCTTAAGAAATGATGTTATCCTCAAGATGCGATAAAGCAACAGCATATTAACAGTTGACAGAACTACTCCTTCCTCAGCCCCAGGACTCTGGGTGGTTGGTCCCGTGGTGGCTGTTTCTGGGGAAGGAGGAGGCAGGAAGAGCAGGGGGCAGAGCCCAGCTCAGGGAAGATGGAAAGGCACAGCATGGTTCTCCTTGAAGAAGTCTGTGGTTACCCATTTATATTTAGCCAGTAAAATGAAATGTGCCTGCGGAGGCTGGGTGTAAATTGTTATTTATTGCTTTGTGAGAAAACTCCCACATGGGGTTCTCTGGCAAGGGAAGCTTTGCAAAATATTTTTGGCAGAAGCAAGGTATGGCTTTGATTTCCACTTTGCCTCTAATGTTTGTCAACGTGTCACCGTTGAGAGGGAAAACAAAATCGGAGCATGCATTTTTGGCCAAGTTTGTTTATTAGTTAGCATATATTTATTGAGCAATCACTGTATGCTAGGTGCTGGGGATATAGCGGTAATAAAGGCAGATGTGGTTCCTGTCCTTACAGATGAGATAAGACAGATGATAAACAATTTTAATAACATTTGGGGGTAAGGGCCCAAGAATCATCCATTCTCTCATTTGGACTCTCAAGATGGGGGGCAATGAAACAAATGAAATCCAAAGTATTCGCATTATCAATGGCTAGGAAAGACCCAATAGGCCACCAAATTCAGAACTCTCTGGTATCAGGCAAATTAAAGAAGTTGGATGAAATTTGAGGTCAAAGTAGAGCCTTCTCTCTTCCCAAATCTAGACCTTGGAACTTACCTAGAAAGAGAAAAACAAAGAAACAAGTACTGTTACCCAGCCAGCCTCAGGCCTGTGGCCAACAAACTGGAGAGAGAAAGACTGTGAAAGACAGGCCTGTTCCTTACAATGACTCTGCCCTCTTTTAACAAAGTGTGTCTTCAATAACATTCTAAACATCCTAAACTTTTATTGGATGTTGCTTGTAGAAATGGTTCTCTGCTACACCATTTGCAATGTAACTTGGCACTTCATCCTTCAAGACATAGAATCTCTTTTCCCTGCCCTTGAATCTGGGCTGGCCTGGATTGCTTTGGCTAATTGAATGCAGTGAAAGGGATGGCATGCCAGGCCCAGCCTAAGCCTCAAGAAGCCTTATGAGCCTGCAGTCTCACTTTTGGAAGCTTGCCACCACCCTATGAACAAGCCAGGACAGATAGCTGGAGAATGAGAGAACAGAGAATGGGGCCAGGCCCCAGGCAGGTGAGAAAGCCCAGCCAAGATCAGCAAAGCCATTCCCAGCCCACAGTGGATGGCAAATGCATGATCAGCTGACCTAGCTCCGATCAGCAGAACCACCTAGCTAGCCCAGAGAGTGGTAAGCAGTAATAAATGGTTGTTTTAAGCTACTAAGATTTTGTTTTGAAGACTCTATTTTTTTAGAGCAGTTTTAGGTTCAAAGCAAAATTAAGCAGAAGGTACAGAGATTTCCCCTATGTCTCCTGCCCCTCCCCCATTATCCACATAGCTTCCTCCATTATCCACATCCCCTACCAGAGTGGTACATTTGTTACAATAGATAAACCTACATCAATACATCATGATCACCCAAAGTCCATGGTTCACGTTCGGGTTCACTCTTGGTGTTGTACACTCTGGGTTTGGACAAATGTATAATGAGATGCATTCATCATTATAGTATCATGCAGAGTATTTTCAGTGTCCTCTATATCCTGAGTTTGTCAGTTTGGAAGCTGAATTTACCCAGAGCTTAACATCACAGAAAGCAAGTCATAGTTTGAGAGTATATGGACAATGATCTTAGCTCCAATTCTGGCCACGGCATCTTATCAACATCAGCACTCAAAGTTACCACTGTCCATATGAGGACCACCACATCTGATAAGAATCAGCAGCATAGGGCTGCCTAATCCATACAACCTATAGGCAAATGGTTGAGGTAGCAGGGCCAGCATATACATGAATCAGTTCTAGAACCAACAACTTTGGGTTCACTGATTTTCATAGAGCAAGGGTGGGGACAGAAACATCCCTAGGGGAACCAATCCCAGAGAGAAAGCTTCCCACTAGATTAGTATAAACCTGGAGGTTTCATAGTTTCGTGGCATTTGCTTCCACTTCAGTGGTGACTGCTGTCCCTCTGCTCTCTGAACATGTGAAAGTCGAGTTGTGGGCTGCAGATTCTGGACTTCACTCCAGTGAGAGTCCTGGGAAGAATTCAGTCTATGATGCCTAGGTTGCTGCCAGGAAGTGATCGAGTGTCCACACTCTCAAGGTAACTATTGGATCATCACAGAGGCTGAAGTACAGTGGTCTCCTATCCCTACCCCAAAGAAATGTTTTGGCGAGGGAGGTACGGTTGGGGGCGGGGATGGGATGGATATTGATAAGCATGTTTAGCCTAGATAGATTACACAATTTTGTACTGTGTAATCCTCTTATGTAGAGTAATTCCATAATGAATGCAAGTTGTTTAAAAAGGCTTCTGCTTGTCAGTTTTCAATTATGGTCAAAGCCAGGAAGGCTGAAAGCCAAGCTGTTTCACTGGAAATCTTCAAATGCCCATAGCTTTGACACAAAACAAATGTCTGGAGCCTCTAGGGTACATTGATTGACTAATCCCAAACTCCACAGCTAATTAGGAAAAAAAGATAATGACACTGTTGTTCTAAATCAGGCCAGTCTCTCTGGTCACAAGGGCTCATCTATTCTTACTCTGACAGTTCAGGTCCTTCCTTTTGGTTCCTGCTTCTCCCCTGTGCCCTGTGCTGCTGGAGGGGCTTGTCACCCTGAAACATAATTTCAAGCTGGCTAATCAGAACATTGACCGTGTAACCCAGCCAATCAGACCTTTTCTGGGGTTGATGTAGTTTGTGGGAGACAAAGGGCCTCTCACTTCTCTGAGATGCTCTGTAAATTACGACCTCCAAAGGAGCTCCTAGACTCATCTTTGCCAGAAAGAGTGCATGAAAAGAAATTCACCCCAAAGAGAAACAGGGCAGAAAGATGGGGAGAAAGGAGCAGATACTGGAATCTCCTTGAAACCTGGATCTAGCTAGACTGGAATTCAGACGTACCTCTGGACTTTTGAGTTCCATTAATTCATAAGTTGCATTTTCCTTGATGTGGCTTTAGTTGGGTTCCCCTCCCTTATAAATGACTGTGCATAGAGGACAGAGAAAAGCCAAGACCTTTGGTATCTTTGTGAAGAAAGGCCAGAACTCCCCAACCATCAGGGCCCTGTAGGAAAATAAGTTTTGCAGGAATAGCTATGGGAGCCAGCAAAGGGTACTACTAAAATGCTCGCTTCGGCTGCTCTCAGTGCCTGAAGTCTCTGTCAGAAGAGCTTGGCCTTGGAGGCAGCATCATTTTTTGTTAAACTATCAAAGCCTCTGGAAGAGGTAGTGCAAAAGTGAAGGAGAGGCATCCTTGAGAAAAAATGTTACCATGGTGAAGGAAAATGGTTTTCTTTCACCAGGTTAGCATGAAGTAACTCCTAGCAGACTGTGGCTCCTATGGCATCATTCTAACTCCTGGGAAAAATACTCTTGACATCATGATCCCAACATTCAGTCTGAATGAGTGAGTCTTTTGAAGGCATTTCCAGGGTATTGGCAGGTTATTGGGGTGTCTTGTGGGTGCCCCTTAAGTAATATTGCATTTGTGGCATCTACTCCACTTACACCAAGGGCTGGTCCTCGCCTGTTGATGGTCATTCCAGGTGTAACCATCCAGATCAGAGCTGCTAATTGAGGAACACCCTTCCTCTCTCCCTCAAGGGCGAGCGTGTGACTTTTACTTGAGTGAAATCTTCTGTTGGGGTCCAATTGAACCTGCAGATTGTTCCTGACTGAGTCTTGACTATTAAGAGACTATACTATGTGGGAAAGTACACCATTTAGAAGCAGGGAATAACTTTCTGGAGGAATGTCACAAAAGACCCTCTCTACCTCCCCAGGAGCAAATCCTTCGCCTACAGTTCTTTTTCATTCTACACTTCTCCCGTGCAATGAGACCATAATTAAAACACTGTGAGAAAGAATTAGAAATACTGCTTCTGAACTTTAATTATAAACTCCATACTCAGGTTCCTTGGGGCTTACACAGGCAGTCCACAGTCTTATTTGTTCTCTAGAACTTGGAATCCATTTCTCTACTAAATCATTGTTGGCAACATGCCCAGCCCAGGCCAGTCCACTATGGCTCATGTTAGCCATGGTTACCTGAATTATAGTGTTAACAGTCCTCAACCAGGGTTATCTGGTTGCAAGCAACAGAAAACAATTGTGACAAAAGTTAGCAAGAAAAAGAAATATGTTGGGAAGACATTGGGTAGTGTGTCAGTTAGGGTTCAATGAAGGGAGAAAGTTGTAATGATTATTATGGAATAAGAGATGTAGTAGGAATTTGACCTCACAAAGTTGTAGGAGGAGCTAAGGAAGAGAGGTTCAGCAAGAGGAGTAAGAGGTTCAGAGAAAAGTCATTAACCAGGCCTCTTGAAGCACTGATGTGGGTGGACACGTTGAAGCTTACAGGATCATCAGGGAGCCAGTTACAGCTAGTGCTAGATGGGAACCATGAAGAGGAGCTGGGGAAGAAGTCTAAGGAGGATTACTGCCACTAACTAGTCACAAAGTCAGTGACTTTGTCTGGAGGTGGACTTGCTGTTGGTCTACAGACCTGGCAGTCAGGGGAAACCTAACCTAAGCAGAGTAGAGAGATGAGCCTGAACCTGCTGGCAGTTCAGCACGTATCTCTTGCTGCTGTTACCCGAAAGGAACTGCGGAAAATAACGGATGCTGAGTCACTTCCGCTTTTCAGATCTAGTACAAATTCTTTTTAATCCATTTTAACCTGAAAACATATAGGGAAGGTTGCAGAATCAGAGGAAAAACGATGTGGCCAAGCCCATGACAGATGGGTCTCAGTAGCAGGAACTTGGGGTTAGCTCCAGGCATGATTCAGTTCCAGCCACTTTCTGTCATGTGTGTCAGATTCCACGTTCAAATTCCATGTTCCTGGGAGGGTGGCTGCAGTCAATCTAGCCTGAGCAGAACCAACTCTTTTGTTCAGAGTAGAGTTCTGTGATTTGCAGCCCACTGGAACTATCTGGGAGAGGGAGAGGGGCTCCCTCAAAGAATATATGCTTGCTGGATCAAAAGAGATGGAGTCCATTCTTAGCTCTTTCCACCATTGTTTCAGAGAGAGAAAACTCATTGGCATTTCCAGATTTCTTATAATTCAGCTCCTGCAATGTAGACACTTACGATTTCTCTCCCCTTCTTCTGAAGCCAAAGTCATAGTGTATCACTGGATGGCAGATTTTTTTTTTTTTTGAAACAGACTCTTGCTCTGTCACCCAGGCTAGAGTGCAATGGTGCAATCTCAGCTCACTGCAACCTCTGCCTCCTGGGTTCAAATGATTCTTCTGCCTCAGCCTCCCAAGTAGCTGGGATTACAGGCATGCACCACCATGCCTGGCTAATTTTTGTATTTTAGTAGAGACAGGGTTTTGCTGTGTTGGCCAGGCTGGTCTCAAACTCCTGACCTCAGGTGATCTGTCCGCCTTGGCCTCTCAAAGTGCTGGGATTACAGGCGTGAGCCACCACACCCGGCCTGGATGGCAGATTGAGGAATTAAAATGATTTTGATAGGCTGGACAAATGGACAAAATTGAATGGAGGTAATTATATGCTACAGAAATCAACTGTGCAAAATAGTTCACATGGAAAATATCTTAGGAGGTTTGGTGTTGGGAGGGTCAATTGAGTCAACAGGAGAATGAGGCCTTTAGAAGTTTAATGCCTTTCAGAGCCCTGTTATGAAAAGCTGGTATCCAGAACCAGACTGTAGGCAACTCCCTTGCAGTGCATGAGTCAGGCAGGGCCCCTTGCAGAAGGGCAGGATTTGGGTTTCTGTTGGGCCTGGAGCTAGGAGCCAGCCTTGCCATAGGCCTAGGACCATGGGCTGGATATTCCAGTACGCTTGTGTGTTTCTTGACTGCAAAACAACTGGCTGGACCTGTATTGCTCTGATGTTCTGTGATTCTGTGAGCCCTTGGTGTTCACCTTTAGGGCCGCATGGTTGAGAAGGGGAATCAAAACAGGGAAACAGTAAGGAGAGAGAACTAGAAAATGTGTCCCATATTTAGGAACTGGGGCAGGGAGGGCTTGGGGAGGGCCAACCCTCTAAAACATGAAAGGATTTCCTATGGACTAAAGAGAACACTTATTCTAATTCTTGCACAAGTGGACATGGGCTTTCAGTTTAACATATCCAAGAATGTTCTAAGAGGTGGCCCTGATTGTGAAGTTGTAAGATCTTCATCTCTGGGGGCTTTCAAACAAAGGCTCAGTGACCCCCCCTCAGGAATGCCCTTGGAGGGGCTCGTATCAGGTGGCCTCAGATATACATCTTTCTTAGGAGGTCATTCAGCCCTGAATATGTCAGCTAATGGCAAATGGCCCAGACTGCATAGGCATTGTGAAGTATCCTGAAGATATGGAAAACAAGGTTCCTGTGCCTTGGGAAGTCAATGAGGGGAACACATATACCCCCTTTTTATTTGACAAGAGTTTTCTGTCCTGACTGACAGCCACTTTCCAGGGCAGGAACGGTGCCTCCCCACTGCTCAGGCCTGGGACACTATAGTCCTTTATTCAGTTCATTATTTTGTTGTTTGAAGGAGTTTCCTAGAAACATACTTCCTCTTTCCCAGCTCTCTGGTCAATATGAGAACATGATGACTTCTTAGAAACAAGAAGACATTATGCCTTTTCTCTGGCCTGCCCACAGTTTTGATTTTTTGAAAGAAGGCTTAAAATATTTTTGAAGATATATATAGAGCCCAGTCTTTCTGGAAGAAGCCACTGGTAGTAGCAAGCTTCCCACAAGAAATGCTCCCTGACCTTAGTTGTTTTGTTGATAGGTCTCAGCTGGGCCACCATCTCCCTGTCCAGTGAAAGTTGCTGATGAGCTGCAGCATTCCAGAACAGAATGTGATGCTGTCTGCTTCCGCCTGCCCCCTTTTTCAATTGTCTGGAATCAAACATGTGAGATTCTAGCCAAGGAAGGGCAGAAGGAGGAGTAGAGAGAGAGAGAGAGTGCAAGATGAGTCCATTAAAGAGATGGTCCCAATCATCTAGTTGTAAGCAATTTCCAACTCCCCTAATCAGGGGCTCTTCAAAATGTGGTCCATGGACCAGCAATCCTCCTTGACAAATCTGTTAGAGATGCAAATCATAGGCCCTACCCCATTCCTGCAGAATCACAGGAGATCTGTAATTTTTGTGTTCAAAAGCCCTCCAGGTGATTTTTGTGCATGCTTAAAGTTGAGAAGCACTGGAAAACCACACTTTGGAAGTTAAGTATTTTAAGCAGAATAGGTGGCTGGTGATTATACAGAGAATTTAGGGGAGCAAATAAATATGCCCTCCCCTCCCAAGAGAAGTCACCCACTCCCCTGGCATCTGCTATCTATGCCTAAAATCCCTCCATTAGAGCAAAGCTTTGGGTTGTATTGGGTTCAGCAAATGATATCCCAAAGTGAAGGCTTCAAATGCAGCCTCAAAAGCAAAGTTTCTTTCTGATCTTCTGCCCTCCTGTCTCTCACCCCTCATTCTCCAGCCCCCTCAGCCCTCAAGGAAAGCCACAGAAACCAGACCCTCTCTTCCCCATGGCAGGTCATAGGACTTGAATAGATATTTCTTAAAAGAAGACATACAAAAGATCAACAGGTTTGTGATTATTAATTTACATCATTAATGACCAGAGTAATACAAATTAAAATCACAATGAGATATCACCTCATACTTGTTAGAATGTGAGGTTTATTATCAACAAGATGAAAGATAAAAGTATTGGTAATGATGTGGAGAAAAGGGAACACTTGCACACTCTTGGTGGGAATAAAAATTATTATGGCCGTTATGAAGAACAGTATGGTGATTCCTCAAAAAAAAAAAAAAACCTAAAAATAGAATTACCATAGAATCCAGTAATCCCACATCTGGATATAGATCCAAAAGAAATGAAATCAGTATGTCAAAGGGATCTCTGAACTGCTATGTTCACTGCAGCCCGAAAGCCCATGTCCACCTGTGTAAGAATTAGAATAAGCGTTCTCTTCAGTCCATAAGGAAATCCTTTCATGTTTTAGAGCGCTGGCTCTCCCAAGCCTTCCCTTCCCAAGTTCTTAAATATGGGACACATTTTCTAGTAGCCAGGATATGGAATCATCCTAAGTGTCCAGCAGTGTATAAGTGGATAAAAATATGGTATATATTCACAGTGGAATACTATTCAGCCTTTATAAAGAAGGAAATTCTGTCATTTGCAACAACACAGATGAACGTGAAGGACATTATGCTAAGTGAAAGAAGCCAGGCACAGAAGACAAATACCACATGATCTTACTTATATGTGGACCTTATACAAAGTTGGACTTACAGAAGTAAAGAGAAGAATGGTGATTAGCAGAGGCTGAAGTGTGTGTGTGGAGGTGTATGGGGAAATGGAAGACATTAGTCAAAGGTACAAAGTTTCAGTTAGACAGGAGAAGTTTCAAGATCTGTTGCATAGCATGGTGACTGTATTAACAATAATGTATTGTACATTTCAGAGTTGCTAAAGGAATAGATGTTAAACATTCTCACTAGATAAAATGATAAGTATCTGAGGTGATGGATATGTTAATTAGCTTGATATACTCATTCCACCATGTATATATATCAAAACATTACCTCATATCCCATAAATATATATAATTATTTGTCAATTAAAAATACATTTTTAAAGTGCAGAAAAAAAAAAACCACAACAACCCAGAATCCCTTTTCCCCAAAGCCAGCCATAAAACCTGAAAATGTCACTTTAACCTTTCCACACCTTTCTGTGTAAGAACTGGCCATAAAGAAATTCTCTGATTTGCCTTGTTTGATTGTAGGTCATAAGACCCTCATTCCAGAGAGGGTCCTGCCCCATCCCCAGGAGGAAAGAATGCTATGCAGAGAGGCCAAGAAGAATCTGAACAGGCAGGCCTTGCTGGTTTTTCCCACTCAGTCTGGAAGCATTAGACCACACCCTTTTTGTTCAATCTACACAGCTGGCCTGTCCATTCTTCATTGAACCTAAGCATAAAAATGAATAGCTTCCCCTGTATCTCTGGGTCTTTATTCTGAAGGTTCTTGTGTCATGTAAAATTATGATCAAATAAATTTGTTATGATTTTCTCTTGTTATCCCATCTTTGTGATAGGGGTGTTGGCTGTGACCCTTACGATGGGGAGGAAAGGGATCATGCCCTTTCTGCCCTTACAGTTGCCATTCTGTCTCTGATAAAATGCAACCATTATAACTATCTCAGTATGCCGTCTACCTCCAACCTTTTCTTACTCCTTTCCCTCTTTCCTTTTGAAGAGAGTGCTCAAAAGATATAATGAAAGCAGCAGAGGTTCCAGAAATGGGGGTGGGTGTAACCATGGTGGAGGTGGGGGCTATTTTAGGACTTGAAATGCTCAAATCCCAAAGTACTAGCCCTAAGTGACAACTGATGTTGGCTTACTGGTCACATATCAGGGTGTGGGACTGACCCATTGTCTTACACCTGGCTCTGCCACATAGTTCCAGCATCTGTCTGGACCACAGAGGTGCTGGAATCTGTGACTCTGCATTCATTGTTAAAGTCATGTATTTTTTAATAGTCATAAAATTAGCTTTTAACAGCTCATTGTGTCTTCTTGTAAGTAAGGAGAAACTTACTCCTTTATACTTAGGTTGCCCTAAGTGTTTTAGGAGTATGCCGGGAAACACACAAGTGTCTTGTGTGCCTAATGATTTAAAAATAAAACTATCATGGCCGGGCATGCTGCCTCATGCCTGTAATCCCAGCACTTTGGGAAGCCGAAGTGGGTGGATCATGAGGTCAGGAGTTCGAGATCAGCCTGGCCAAGATGGTGAAACCCCGTCTCTACTAAAAATAAAAAAAATTAGCCTGACATGGTGGCGGGCACCTGTAATCCCATTTACTCAGGAGGCTGAGGCAGGAGAATTGCTTGAACCCAGGAGGTGGAGGTTGCAGTGAGTTGAGATCGCACCACTGTGCTCCAGCCTGGGTGACAGAGTGAGACTCCGTCTCAAAGTAAATAAATAAAAAAAATTAAATAAATAAAACTAAAACTACCCTGGAGATTGGGAACGCACTCCCCACAGCCTCCTGGAGCCAAGCTCCTTGGAGCTGCTCTTTGCAGCAGGGTGGGACCTGTGAGCTGGGCTCTGAGATCAGCTCTCCTTGCCCACCTGCCATGGTCCAGGTGTAGCCATTGTCCCCAGGCCCCAATTAACACCCAGCATGACACTGGCACTCAACAATGGTAATTTCTAGGGTTGTGATCATTTTTCCCTACATGGCAAAAACTGAATAGAAAATGACTGTCCTCCGAGGGAGAACTGAGAAGCTTTGTGTTTCAAGGGCTCTCTGTGAAGAAGATTGGGTTGTTTGTTACACTGAGGGAAGTACAAACTGTTTAAAAAGGTGTGAACTGAGCTGGTCTAAAATAATACAGCTGGGTCAGGTGTTTCAAACTCAAAACTGGGCAATGGAAATTAGGCCTTAAAGATTCTCTTCGTTTCGCCCACTCTCTGTGTTCCTGGCTAATGTCTCTCTGGTTTCCCTTTGATCAAAATGACAATTATAAGGCAGTTTGGGAGATCATTCTGTAATGTTGCTACAAACCCACTTTAAAGCTTCGTTCAGAAACTTGCAGTCTAAACCGTGCTTAGACTGTTCTGGGGTGAAATGCTTCAGGTTCTTTGAGAAAATAGTTTCTGGAAATATAGCATAGGAAGCGGTATGTGAAAGGCAGGCGTGCTGGAGTTTTGCCCAGGGCTGTCTCAGCTGTGGGTGGGTGGGAAGAGGAGGAAGACAGAAGTATGTGTCTACTTACGGATGTGTATTTAAGTCAAGTCATGACAGGAGGAAGCTTATGTTCTAACCCCTGATTTATTTGGAGGCAGCCACATAAAGCAGCCTTCATTGAATGGAAGAGTGGTTTCCAAATGTCCTTAGGCTTGCTGGAGACCTGCAGCTTCCCTCCCAGAGGCAATACTGAGCACTCTGCCTCCTGCAAAGAAGCCCCCAAGACACACAGCTGCCTTGGGCAGTAGGAGGGTAGGAGAACCCTGAAGATCTGTTTCAGAAGCTGCTCAAATGGGTTATCAGGCTTGCCCCTGCACTCTCTGTTCTCAGTCATATTCGGAAAAGGCAGAAGGACCACTGGGCTATTGTTCCCAGTTCTCTGGGGACATCCAAAATATTCCAAATTGTGTGAGATGCCTTTAAGATGGCTTTCAAGCACTGATTCCATCTTTTTCATCAACCTCCTGGGCTCAAGTGATCCTCCCACCTCAGCCTCCCAAGTAGCTGGGACTACAGGCATGCACCACCACACCTGGCTAACTTAAATTTTTTTTCTTTTTGTAGAGATAGGGTCTTACTTTGTTGCCCAAGCTGGTCTCAAACTCCTGGGCTCAAGCGATCTTCCTGCCTCGGCCTCCCTGAGTGTTGGGATTACAGGCATGAGCCACGCCCAGACCATCATCAACATTTATTTCTATTTGAAACTCAGTTTTGACAATGGCTAAAAGAATTTCCTACTTCTTTTTTTATTTTTTAGATAGATTCTCACTCTGTCGCCCAGGCTGGAGTGCAGTGGCACAATCTCGGCTCACTGCAACCTCCGCCTCCTGGGTTCAAGAGATTCTCCTGCCTCAGCCTCCTGAGTAGGTGGGACTCCAGGTGCATGCCACCATGCCTGGCTAATTTTTGTATTTTTAGTAGAGACGGGGTTTCGCCATGTTGGTTAGGCTGGTCTCGAACTCCTGACCTCGTGATCCACCCATCTTGGCCTCCCAAAGTGCTAGGATTATAGGCGTGAGCCACCATGCCCGGGTGAATTTCCTACTTCTTTAGGTCAAAACTAAACAATTGACCTAAAGAAGTAGGACATTACTTCTTAAAGCAATTCTTAAAGAACTACTGTGTAATTCACTACCCAGTATATTACTGTAACTGACTTGTATTAAAGAAACAATTATATCCAAATAGTACAAAATGAGAAAATGTTGTATAACTTCTTTTTCAAATAACTGAAATATTTTCATTTTTAAATGTGAGTGTAGGTGCCAGTTGTCTTTCCTTGTGAAGGACTGTTCATGCTAAGGTTAGAGCCTTCCTAATTTTTTGTTTCTTTTATTAAATGATAGCAACAGGAGATAACAGGCATTTTATCATCTTTTATCACCTAATCTCCCAAATGTCTTTTAAACTTTTACAAGTATGGAATTAAAAAACAATGGAAAAATAGCCAGGCATGGTGGCTCACGCCTGTAATCCCAGCACTTTGGGAGGCCGAGGTGGGCGGATCACTTGAGGGCAGGAGTTTGAGACCAGCCTGACCAACATGGAAACCCCATCTCTACTAAAAATACGAAAATTAGCTGGGCATGGTGGTGTGTGCCTATAGTCCCAGCTACTTGGGAGGCTGAGGCAGGAGGAGGTTGCAGTGAGCCGAGATTGTGCCACTGCACTCCAGCCTGGGTGAAGAACGAGACCCTGACTCAATTTGAAAAATAAATAAATAATGGAAAAATAGAGGAGATAAAAGTGGCAGTAGCAGAGGGGTACAAAAGAATAGAAAGGCTTTGGAAAAAGCCAGAAAAAAGGCCTACACCACCACTTGTGAGCTGAAGAGTTTCAGTGCCAAGAGTGATGGGGTTTTGTTCTGGAAGATCTAAAGAGAAAAGAGGATAAACAATTAGAAATTTTGTCATTATGACCAAATGAAAAATTTTACCTTACTTTTGGTTTTCTTTAAAATGTTGTTGTTTATACATGTCCTATTTTGAAATATTTCTAAAGGTACCCATTTAAAGAGTACTTACTGTGACAGATACTAAGCTGAGAAGTGATCACTTTGGTATCTAGATAAAAGGTGTATGTTGCAGGGGACCCTCAGAATACTTGAATTAATTGTACTTGATAGCATTATGTGGTCTTCCAACTGGAGCATCCAACAGAATCCCTGGAAGGCTTGTCAAAGCACAGATTCCGGGGCCTCGCAGTTTGCTGATTCAGATTGCTGGGTCCGAGGTGGGCCCCAGAAACTGCTTTTCTAACAAATTTGCAGATGATCTGATACTCTTGCCCTGCCTGGGAGCCACACTTTGGGAACCACTGCTTTAGGGAACTATTTCTATAGGACGAGAAACTCACAAGTTCTGAATCTCTGCATAAAGCAATAAAGGGATGATGAATATAAAGAAAATTCATTGATTATTTTTGAAACCTGTGGGAATGCATATTCTGTCTCCAGTACTTTTTCCTTACTTTTAGCTTCTTATATTTCCAGACCCTTCGATGTTTTTCAGGTGTTCAGTATACAGCCTAGGCAGTGATCCTCAACTAGATTTAGACTTTGCACATTTATAAACACTCAGAATGTCACTCATCATTTAACTTTTCTTATCATAGCTTTTTTGTGTGTGCAAAAGCCCTTACATTTTTTTTTCTTTTTTTTTTGAGACAGGGTTTTGTTCTGTCACCCAGACTGGAGAGCAATGGCAAGATCATGGCTCACTGCAGCCTCAGCTACCCAGGCTCAGGTTATCTTTCCACCTTACCCTCTTTCCATTTATTTATTTCAATAGGTTTTTGGGGAACAGGTGGCATTTGGTTACATGAATAAGTTCTTTAGTAGTGGTTTCTGAGATTTTTATCCTCCCGCCTTGGTTTCTTGAATAGCTGGGACCACAGGTGCACACCACCGTGCCCACAAAAATATTCTCCCACCGTATTAGTTTTTCTAGGGCTGCTATAATAAACTGGGTGGCTTAAACAATAGAATTTCATTCTTTCATAGTTCTAGAAGCTAGAAGTCAAGGTGTTGGTGGGGACTTGCTCTCTCTGAAGATTTTAGGGGAGACTCAGTTCCAAGCCCTCCTCTTGGGTTCCGATGTTGTGAGCAATCTGAGTGTTTTTTGTTGTAGACGCATCACTTCAGTCTTTGCCTCCGGTGCCATGGTGTGCCCTCCTCATGTGTCTGTGTCTTTCTCTCTGTTTTTACTCTTATAAGGACACCTGTTCTATTGGGGTAGGGCTCATTCTAATCAAGTTAGACCTCGTTTTGGCTTAATTATATCTGCAAAGATCTTATTTCCAAATAAAGTCACATTCACAAGAACCAAGGCTTAGGAATTCAACCTATCATTTTAGCAGGCAGAATTCAGTCAACACCACCTGCATTTTCTTCTATTAGTTTTGTCCTTTTTCCTTTCATTTTTACATCTGTCATCCAACTAAATTTCACCCTTGTGTAAGGCATGGGATTTACTTTCTTTATATAGTGAGACAGATTTCCTGATATTGTCTACTCAAGTGTTAACTGGATCAACAGCATGGGCCATCACTTGGGAACTTGCAAATTCTTGCATTCCACCCCATTCCTGCCAAATTATAAATTCTCAGGATGGGGCCCAGCAACTGCATTTAACACCCCACGACCCCGCCCCTGCCCCCACCCCAC
Organism: Homo sapiens; assembly: GCF_000001405.40. Lineage (NCBI taxonomy): Eukaryota > Metazoa > Chordata > Mammalia > Primates > Hominidae > Homo > Homo sapiens. The sequence goes on from NC_000020.11 coordinate 4,379,710, forward strand.
TAGGAAAGACTGGTTCACCTGCAGTTTGAGAACCACTGCACTAAAGAATTCATTTTTCTCCACTGATTTCTGATGCTATCTTTATCACGTTTTAAGTTTCCATATATAGATGCATTTGGTTTTGAACTTCATTTCTGATCTGTTGATTATTTTGTCTGGTCTTAGACCAGTACTTTGCAGTTATTGTTGTTGTTCTTAATACTAAACTTTAACCTGTCTTAATATTGGTAAAATAAGTCCTTTCGCTTTTCTTCTTTAAAATTGACTTAGCTTTTCGTGAGCGTTTATTTTTCTATATAAATTCAAGAATGATTTTATCAAGATCTTCAAAAAATCTCTGCAGGAATTAAAAAAAAAGCGACCAAACTTATAAATTAATTATCTCTTTAATATTATGGCTTCCAAATAGTGAATATTACCTTCTCAGTTTATGAAATATTCTTTTATATTTTTAATACAGTTACAATAATTTGTGCACAAAGATCTCATGCGCTCTTTTCATTAGGTTAAATCTTAGGTATAGTACAGTGTCTCTTGGTAGTTTCAATGGTATTGTGCTTCTGAAACGTGATTGTAGGACCTCGTTGGATTTTGCTGGTGTAGAGGAACTCACTGGTATTTGTAAGCTGAAACTTAGAAAGTTGTGTCCAGTAACTTTCCTGAGCTCTAGTTTGTTGAATATTTTAGGTTTCCATATCATCTGTAAACAATGAAAATTTTGTCTTGTATCTTCCAATCCTTACACTTTGATTCCTTTTCCTTTGTTATTGTGGAAGCCTGCAGCTCCAGTACTGTGTTGAAAGCAGTAGTAATAGTAGCCATCCCTGTCTTTTTCTCACTCTAAAGGGAGTGCATGTAAATTTTCTCCACTAATTGTGATGTGGCTTTTTGGAAGATGTTCTTTATAAACTGAACAAAGTTAACACATCCCAAATTGGAAGAAATGATTACTCTGTTGTTTTCTTGCACCTAGCATTGCTAGTGATATCAATCTGATAATTTTTCTTACGTGGATGGGCTGCCATTGCTCTCTAGAAGGTTTTATGTTACTCCCTTTGTCTCTGGGGTTTTTAAATTTGACAATAATGCTTCTAAGTGTTTATTATTATTATTATATCTTCTATTTTGCACTCTATGATCCCTTTCAACCTGAAAGGGATCTTTAATTCTGGGAACTTCTTGATCATTATTTTTTAACAATCACATTTCTTTATTTTTCTCTCTCTTTCTAGAACTCATTCTACACCTCTATGTGCTATATTTCTTACCTTTTTATGTGTATTTTTACATTGCTCCCGACTCTCCATGTGTTTTGACTTGTTCTTCATCCTGACCTTGGAGCACATTAATCCATTACACCATTGTTTTCATTCTGCTGTTCAACCCATTATTGAGTTCTTTATTTCAGTTATTACATTTTTTTCATACTTGGCATTTCTACTGATTCTTCTTTTAGATTTATAGTTGCAGTACTTTGGTTTGCTTTGCTTTTTATGGGTTGTTTAGTGTGTATTCTCTTATAGAGGTAGTAGCAGTCCTCAGCTAGCATGGTATTTTTCTTTGTGGGCATATAATCCTCACTGAGGGTTCCTAACCTTGTCTGTACATCGAAATCACATGGGAGTTTTAAAAAAATACTGATACCTGGATCCCATCCTCATACATTTGATTTAATTGTTCTGAGTGTGACTTGGACATCCAGGTTTTTTTTAAAAAAAATCTCTCCAGGTGATTCTTTTCTGCAGCTAAGATTAAGAAACACTTCAGCTTCCAGTATCAGCTGGTTTGGCTACTAAAGTGTTCATGGAGAAAGGGGCTAAAGTCCAAGCCCTGGGAGTGAAGTGAGAGGGAGTTAGAAGTGGGAACCTCCTTCAGAGTAGAGAGCCACTGGGGCTACTATCTATCTGAAATGAGATTTTTCTGTTTGCCACCAACTCAGCTACCTCCCTCCATGTCATTCACAAGAACTTACCTTTTCCAAGAATGTTATGTGTAGATCACAGTCATTCTACCTTTGGGGCATGGTGGAGTTTGGAAACGAGGGTGAACAGGGCTGGTAAAGGGTATCTTCCCGAAAAAATGACCCCTTCTATGTTTATGCTGGTTGTAGTCTGTTCTCTCCTTCAGCCAGGCTTGAATGGTGCTATAATAATACTTCCTGGTACCCACACTGGGCTGTTTCTGACATTTTTCTTCCTTACGGAAAATGGAGCAGATAATGGTTTATCTAGAACGTTGTGGGAAAAGGCAAGAACATAGCTTTAAAAACTCCATTCTCAGCCTGTTTTCCCATCTATGGTGCCAGGCCCTTTTTGGCTTTCTTCTAATACCTGTGTCTCCCCAGTTAATAATTTCTCACTACCCCCAATTTCCTCTCATTTGTGGCAATTCCACCGTTGGTTTGGGGGAAGGATCCAGTCTCCCCAGCTACTCGGGCTGGAGGAAATTGTCCTGTGCTGTGAAGTATGGTAGAACATTTTTATTCACTTGGAAAAATGTGAAATTGGATCTTTACCTCATATCATATGCAAAATTCAACTCCAGGTGAATAAAGAACTTAACTGTCAAACCCAAAAATGTTTAAGTCTTAGTAGAAAATCTAGTAAATATATTTAAGTCCTTGGTAAGGAAAGATTCTTAAATAAGATACAAAAAGAATCTATTATAAAATTGATAAATTCTATAATACTAAAAATAAGAATGTTTGCTCACTAAAAGATGTTTTCAAGAAACTGAAAGCCAAGACACAAACTGGAAGCGGATATTTGCAATGCACATTATATGGTGAAGGACCGTTATCAAAAATATATAAAGAACTTCTGCAGATCAGGAAGAAGAGCATAAATTCAACAGAAAGGTATTAAAGAGATAGGAACAGGCATGCATGGAGAGGACTCAAATGAACCCAACAAGTATATGACGAGTTGCTTAGCCTTGTGATGACTCTACGAGAGCCACAAGGCCAAAATGAGGCATTATTTAATTGGTAATAATTACAAAGTCTGATGGTATAAAATATCAGAATGGATATAGCTCCACAGATGGTGAGAGTGTAAATTAATGTAACCAATTTGGAATATACTTTGGCATTACCTTCAAAAGTTTAAAATTCACACACCCTTTGAATGAGCTATTCTACTCCTAGTCACTGCCAATAGGAAACATTATGTCTGTACAGAAGAAAGTACAAATAAGAATGTAACATTGTTCATAGAAACAAGAGCCTAGAAACAACACAAATGCCCACAATTGGGAATTAGATGAATAAACTGGAGCATATTCACACAATGAAATATACAGCTGTCAACATAAAGGTAGTATGGCTACAATTTGATGAATCTTGGAAATATTAAGTGAAAAAAGTTAACTCTCAAAAGATTACACAGAGTTTAGAAAGATAAAAGTACTAAATATATAGTTGTCAAGAACCTTTGCTCCGTGAAAACCCATGTAAAGAGGATAAAAAAAGAAGTTAGAGACTGGGAGAAAAATACTTGCAAATCACCTGTCCAACAAAGAACTAGTACAGCATTAAGAATTTTAAAAATTTTTCAAAACTTAACAGTAAAAAAAATTCAATTAGGTGGGCAACAGAAGTAAAGAAATTCACCAAAGAGTATATACAGATGGCAAATAAGCATATGAAAAGATGTTTAACATTAGCTACAAGGGAAAAGCAAATTAAAATCACAATAAGGTATGATTACAAACCTCTCAGAATGGCTAAAATTAAAAATACCAACACTACCAAATTCTGGAAAGGAGGCAGGGAAAGTAGAGCACTCATATATTGCTGGTGGGAATGTAGAATGTTTAGCCACATAGGAAAACTGTGTGGCAATTTCTTAAAGAATTAAACATGCCATTACCATACAACCCAGCAATTGTATTCTTGGGAATGTATCCCAGAGAATGAAAACTTATGTTTACACAGCAATCAGCCCAGATGTTTTTCAACAGGTGAATAGTTAACAAATGACCTAGTTTTGCACTCACATCTTTGTCTTAAATGCTTCTTCTAGGGGTACCTAAACTAAGACAATGTGAAGAAAACTAGCAAGAGGAAAATTAAAACTCAGGAAAGCAGATGTAACAGATGTCTGAGAAAACAAACAATTCAGTTTACAAAATGATCTGCAAAATACCACATCTCTACAACACTCAAATTAAAATTAACAGATAGATTTAACAAGATGTTGTAGCTTTAATGTACATAACAGCAAGTTGCTACTTGAATGGAACAATCAAGGAACAACGACAACAACAAAATAATTTCTGGAAGTTAAATTTGTGATTTGCAAAATAAAAACAAATATTTAATAGTTGAACTTGAAGATAAGATCGGGAAGTTTCCCAGAATAAAGACAAAAAAGACATATTGACTCACCCTCTGATAAAAAGAATGGCTAAGCCCCAGAGAGAATCAATCAGTTCCGGAGTTTTGTTGCATTATTCACATTTGCTTTCTTCTGTTGTCATGATTTTTGTGGTTCTTTCCTCTTAAGCAACAAATCCTTTAGAACCGTGCCTCTTAGTGTCTAAACATAACGAGCTTCTTTCTTGTTTTGAATGATTTGTTTTTGTTTATCATTATTTTAATTGTATTTTGATCAGATAAATTTATGTATCTGCTACTCACTCTTTAGAATTGGTTGAGATTTCTGAGCCTGTGGACAATGAATGCTTCTTGAGTGCCTGTTCTTAGCATGATTAAATGGAAGGTATATGCACTAAGGTTGGATGCTGCATTCTGTATACCCACTTACCAAGTGCTATAATTGTGTGGATCACTTTTCTAAATCCCTACAATATTTTTGTCTGCTTGATCAATTAGTTTTTGAGAGCAAGGTGTTTATAAGTACCATCTCTGGATGTGGATTTGTCAATTTTTGCATTGAAATTTTGCCAATTTTTTTCTTTATTTTTCAAGTCAGTGTCATTTGGTGTTTGCATTTGTATGACTATTATACTTTTTAGGTATATCCTTTAAATAGCATATATTAATAGCATGATTTTGCTTGTTAAAATTCAGTCTGGGACTTGTACTTCTGGGAAGATGGAGAATATATGTTTTTTTTCTGTAATTCCCACTAACTAAAATCTCTGAACATTATATATAAAACAAACATGAGGCTTTGAAAAGTAGTGAGAAGGAGGCAGATTGGCTAGGGAGCTCAGGACCTGGGGAAAAACATGGTAATGAGTTTCCTTTGTTTTCATTTTGCCCTGTATATCCCGGGCTACACACTGAAGAAGCTAACACCTGGAAATACCAACAAACAGATAAATAAAGCCTCCAGGAAGGCTTACTCTACCCAGCCAAAGCCCAGGAAAGAGGCAGCCTAGAAAGACAGAAAACTTTTAGGCAGCAGCAGTCCTACTCCTGCCCAAACCACAGGAAAAACAAACTAACAAAAAATCTGCATCCCGTTCCTACCACTGCCAGAAAGGTTCCAGTGGGGAGCCTACACTTCCACCCTCCCAGGGCTGTTGTGAGATGCTCCAGCCATTTTGGTGTTATCATGTTTCACGAGATACCATATGGATGTTAACAGCTCCTCTCCTCTACGTTGTCAGTGGATATCATGCGGAAAGCCACTTGTACCTGGCAATATCAAAGCATCTCTGTCCCTCCCCACTAATATGGTATCAGAAGACACCTCTTAGGAATTCAGGACTTTTACCTCTGCTTAGTAGTAATGATACTGCCCACTCCCACAGTGTCAGTGGAGACCATGTGGAGAGCCTAACACCACCTCAACCTGATGTTAATGGGGCCTGCCTCTCCACCCAGGTGTCATTGGAGGCTGAGTGAAGAGCCTGGCCTTCCAACCCCGTCTGGGAGTACGGAGGTGGCATTGTGTTCATCTACCAGAGTGGTGTCAGCAGAGATCGGCTAAAACACAAGATTTAAATAAGATCTAGAGCCTCAAAAGAAAGTACCACAAATGTCTAGGATCAATTTTAAAAAATCACTCACCGCCAGGTGCGGTGGCTCATGCCGGTAATCCCAACACTTCGGGAGGCCGAGGTGGGTGGATCACCTGAGGTCAGGAGTTTGAGACCAGCCTGGCCAACATGGCAAAGACCCGTCTCTACTAAAATACAAAAAAATAGCTGGGCATAAGCGTGGTGGTGGGTACCTGTAATCCCAGCTATTTGGGAGGCTGAGGCAGGAGAATCGCTTGAACCTGGGAGGCAGAGGTTGCAGTGAGCCGAGATCAAGCCGCTGCACTCCAGCCTGGGCAACAAGAGCAAAACTCTGTCTCAAAAACAAAACAAAACAAACAAACAAACAAACGCTCATTGTATTAGGAACCACAAATATCTCAAACTGAATGAGAAAAGTCAATCAACATATCCCAACACTGAAGTGACACAGATGTTAGAATTATGTGGTATTTGACGTCATAAAATACTTCAGTGAGCAATTATGAACATGCTTGAAACAAATAAAAAAAGTTTCAGCAAAGAAAAAGTACATGTCAGCGAAGAAATAGAAAACATAAAGAAGAACAAAATGAAAATTTCAGCACTAAAATTTACAATAACTGAAATAAAAAAACTCAAGGATGGGCTCAACAGCAGAATGAAGAGGGCAGTGCAAAGAATTGGTGAAACTGAAGCTAGAACCATAGAAATTACTCGTTATGAACAACAGAGAGCAAATAGAAAATGAACAGCGCTTCAGGAATATGCAGGAACATAAAAAAGTTTATAAATTTGTGCAGAGAAGAGAAATAGAGTAGGACTGGAAAAGTATTCAAAGAAGTAATAGCTGAAAAATTCTAAATTTTGCAAAAGATATAAGCCATTGTTATTCTTTTTTTTTTATTATTATACTTTAAGTTTTAGGGTACATGTGCACATTGTGCAGGTTAGTTACATATGTATACATGTGCCATGCTGGTGTGCTGCACCCACTAACTCATCATCTAGCATTAGGTATATCTCCCAATGCTATCCCTCCCCCCTCCCCCCACCCCACCACAGTCCCCAGAGTGTGATACTCCCCTTCCTGTGTCCATGTGATCTCATTGTTCAATTCCCACCTATGAGTGAGAATATGCGGTGTTTGGTTTTTTGTTCTTGCGATAGTTTACTGAGAATGATGGTTTCCAGTTTCATCCATGTCCCTACAAAGGACATGAACTCATCATTTTTTATGGCTGCATAGTATTCCATGGTGTATATGTGCCACATTTTCTTAATCCAGTCTATCATTGTTGGACATTTGGGTTGGTTCCAAGTCTTTGCTATTGTGAATAATGCCGCAATAAACATACGTGTGCATGTGTCTTTATAGCAGCATGATTTATAGTCCTTTGGGTATATACCCAGTAATGGGATGGCTGGGTCAAATGGTATTTCTAGTTCTAGATCCCTGAGGAATCGCCGCACTGACTTCCACAATGGTTGAACTAGTTTACAGTCCCACCAACAGTGTAAAAGTGTTCCTATTTCTCCACATCCTCTCCAGCACCTGTTGTTTCCTGACTTTTTAATGATAGCCATTCTAACTGGTGTGAGATGATATCTCATAGTGGTTTTGATTTCATTTCTCTGATGGCCAGTGATGATGAGCATTTTTTCATGTGTTTTTTGGCTGCATAAATGTCTTCTTTTGAGAAGTGTCTGTTCATGTCCTTCGCCCACTTTTTGATGGGGTTGTTTGTTTTTTTCTTGTGAATTTGTTTGAGTTCATTGTAGATTCTGGATATTAGCCCTTTGTCAGATGAGTAGGTTGCGAAAATTTTCTCCCATGTTGTAGGTTGCCTGTTCACTCTGATGGTAGTTTCTTTTGCTGTGCAGAAGCTCTTTAGTTTAATTAGATCCCATTTGTCAATTTTGGCTTTTGTTGCCATTGCTTTTGGTGTTTTGGACATGAAGTCCTTGCCCACGCCTATGTCCTGAATGGTAATGCCTAGGTTTTCTTCTAGGGTTTTTATGGTTTTAGGTCTAACGTTTAAATCTTTAATCCATCTTGAATTGATTTTTGTGTAAGGTGTAAGGAAGGGATCCAGTTTCAGCTTTCTCCATATGGCTAGCCAGTTTTCCCAGCACCATTTATTAAATAGGGAATCCTTTCCCCATTGCTTGTTTTTCTCAGGTTTGTCAAAGATCAGATAGTTGTAGGTATGCGGCGTTATTTGTGAGGGCTCTGTTCTGTTCCATTGATCTATATCTCTGTTTTGGTACCAGTACCATGCTGTTTTGGTGACTGTAGCCTTGTAGTATAGTTTGAAGTCAGGTAGTGTGATGCCTCCAGCTTTGTTCTTTTGGCTTAGGATTGACTTGGCGATGCGGGCTCTTTTTTGGTTCCATATGAACTTTAAAGTAGTTTTTTCCAATTCTGTGAAGAAAGTCATTGGTAGCTTGATGGGGATGGCATTGAATCTGTAAATTACCTTGGGCAGTATGGCCATTTTCACGATATTGATTCTTCCTACCCATGAGCATGGAATGTTCTTCCATTTGTTTGTATCCTCTTTTATTTCCTTGAGCAGTGGTTTGTAGTCCTCCTCGAAGAGGTCCTTCACATCCCTTGTAAGTTGGATTCCTAGGTATTTTATTCTCTTTGAAGCAATTGTGAATGGGAGTTCACTCATGATTTGGCTCTCTGTTTGTCTGTTGTTGGTGTATAAGAATGCTTGTGATTTTTGTACATTGATTTTGTATCCTGAGACTTTGCTGAAGTTGCTTATCAGCTTAAGGAGATTTTGGGCTGAGACGATGGGGTTTTCTAGATAAACAATCATGTCGTCTGCAAACAGGGACAATTACAACAGAGACACAACATACCAGAATCTCTGGGACGCATTCAAAGCAGTGTGTAGAGGGAAATTTATAGCACTAAATGCCCACAACAGAAAGCAGGAAAGATCCAAAATTGACACCCTAACATCACAAGTAAAAGAACTAGAAAAGCAAGAGCAAACACATTCAAAAGCTAGCAGAAGGCAAGAAATAACTAAAATCAGAGCAGAACTGAAGGAAATAGAGACACAAAAAACCCTTCAAAAAATCAATGAATCCAGGAGCTGGTTTTTTGAAAGGATCAACAAAATTGATAGACCGCTAGCAAGACTAATAAAGAAAAAAAGAGAGAAGAATCAAATAGACACAATAAAAAATGATAAAGGGGATATCACCACCGATCCCACAGAAATACAAACTACCATCAGAGAATACTACAAACACCTCTACACAAATAAACTAGAAAATCTAGAAGAAATGGATACATTCCTCGACACATACACTCTCCCAAGACTAAACCAGGAAGAAGTTGAATCTCTGAATAGACCAATAACAGGAGCTGAAATTGTGGCAATAATCAATAGTTTACCAACCAAAAAGAGTCCAGGACCAGATGGATTCACAGCCGAATTCTACCAGAGGTACAAGGAGGAACTGGTACCATTCCTTCTGAAACTATTCCAATCAATAGAAAAAGAGGGAATCCTCCCTAACTCATTTTATGAGGCCAGCATCATTCTGATACCAAAGCCTGGCAGAGACACAACCAAAAAAGAGAATTTTAGACCAATATCCTTGATGAACATTGATGCAAAAATCCTCTGGCAAAACGAATCCAGCAGCACATCAAAAAGCTTATCCACCATGATCAAGTGGGCTTCATCCCTGGGATGCAAGGCTGGTTCAATATACGCAAATCAATAAATGTAATCCAGCATATAAACAGAGCCAAAGACAAAAACCACATGATTATCTCAATAGATGCAGAAAAAGCCTTTGACAAAATTCAACAACTCTTCATGCTAAAAACTCTCAATAAATTAGGTATTGATGGGACGTATTTCAAAATAATAAGAGCTATCTATGACAAACCCACAGCCAATATCATACTGAATGGGCAAAAACTGGAAGCATTCCCTTTGAAAACTGGCACAAGACAGGGATGCCCTCTCTCACCACTCCTATTCAACATAGTGTTGGAAGCTCTGGCCAGGGCAATCAGGCAGGAGAAGGAAATAAAAGGTATTCAATTAGGAAAAGCCATTGTTATTCTACATAGTACTGGAAGTTCTAGCCACTGCAGTAAAGCCAGAAAAATAAGTAAAAGGCATACAAATAAGAAAGCAAGAAACACAACTGTCTTTCTTTGCAGATGACATCACAGTCTATGTAGACAATCCCAAGGAATTTATAAAACCTCCTAATAAGTGAATTCAACAAGATCACAAGGTACAAGATCAACATACAAAAGTCAATTTTATGTTTGTATACTAGCAATGAATATGTGGAAGATAAAATTACAAATATGTTAATATTTATAGTTGCTCAAAAATGAAATAATTAGTAAATCAGACAAAACATATATAGGATGTTTATGCTAAAAACTATAAAACACTAACGTTTTCATGATCTACTTATTTAGCTCTTTTATTTTAAAAAAATCTAAACCAAAGATCTAAATAAGTAGATCTAAATAAGTAGAGAGATAAGTAGAGAGATATTTTGTGGTCTTGGATTAGAAGAATCAACATAGTAAAGATGTAAATTCTTCTCAAATTGATAAACAAGTTTTAAGCAATTTCTATCAAAATCCTAGTAATTTTTTTGTATATATAGATAAGCTTATTCTAAAACTTATATAGAAAAGCAAAAGAAGAAAATACCTAATTCTTAAATAGGAAGTAAGTCAGGAGGAATCACTTTACTTGATTTCAAGACTTATTATAGCATATAGCTACAGCAATCAAAACTGTTTGGAATTGGCAGAGATAGGCACAAAAGTCAATAAGATTTTATACAGAACCCAGAAATAACCCCACATAAGTATGTCCAACTGATTTTTGACAAAGAAGCAAAAACAATTCAAGGGAGGAAAGACCATTTTTTCAACAAATGATGCTGGAGCAACTCTATATCCATAGGTATAAAAATGAGCCTTGACCTAAACCTCAAACTGTATAAAAATGAACTCAAATGGATCATAGATTTAAGTGTAAAGCATACATTTATAAACTTTTAGAATAAAAATCTTCAGGACCTAGAGCTTGGCGAAGAGTTCTTAGACATTGCACCAAAAGCATAATCCATAAAAGAAAAAAATCTATAAAGTGGACTTAATTAAAATTAAAATTAAAATCTTCTGCTCTGCAAAAGATTGCGTTTGGAGAATGTAATACAAATTATAGACAGAGAAAATATTTATGAACCACGTAGCTGACAAAAAACTCTTATCTAGAATACATAAAGAACTTTCAAAACTCAACAGTACAAAAACCAAAAAATCCTATTAGAAAATGTATAAGAGACATGAACACACATTTCACCAAAGGTGACATTGCATGTCATAAGCACACAAGAAGATGTTCAATGTCACTAACCATTAGGGAAATGCAAACTAAGACCATAATAAGATATCACTCACACCTATTAACACAGGCCCAATAAAAAAACAGTAACACCACCAAATTCTGGCAAGGATGCATAGAAGCTGGATCTCTCATACGTTGCTGGTGGGAATGTAAAATGTATAGCCATTCTGAAAAATGGTTTGGCAGTTTCTTAAGAAATTAAAGTTACACTTATCATATAAATCAGCAGTTATACTCTTGGACATTTATCCCAGAAAAAATGCAAACTTATGTGTGCATAAAAACGCGTATGGGGCCAGGTGCGGTGGCTTACGCCTGTAATCCCAGCACTTTGGGAGGCCGAGGTGGGTGGATCACAAGGTCAGGAGATGAAGACCATCCTGGCTAACACTGTGAAACCCCGTCTCTACTAAAAATGCAAAAAATTAGCAGCGCGTGGTGGCGGGCGCCTGTAGTCCCAGCTACTCGGGAGGCTGAGGCAGGAGAATGGCGTGAACCTGGGAGGTGGAGCTTGCAGTGAGCCGAGATCGCGCCAATGCACTCTAGCCTGGGCAACAGAGCAAAACTCTGTCTCAAAAAACAGACAAACAAACAAAAAAAAAAAAACGCATATGGGATTGCTCATAGCAGCTTAATTTGAAGTAGTGCAAAACTGGAAACAATGCAAAAGTCCTTTAATGGGCAAATGAATAAGCAAGGTATAGTAAATGTATTCCATGGAGTACCATGCAGCAGTGAAAAGAAGGGACTATTGATACAAACAACAACTTGGATGGATCTCAAGGGCATTATGTGAATGGGAAAAAACCAATCTCAAAAGGTCACAGACTGTATGATTCCATTTATATAACATTCTCAAAATGACCCAACTGTAGAGATGGAGAACTGATTAGTGGTTGCTAGGGATAGTAGGTATAGTAGGTATAGTAGGGAGAATGGGTATGGCATGAGTGAGATCTTTGTGGTGATAGAATAGATATCTTTGTGATGATGGTTGTATCCACACAAATGTACACATGTGATAACATAGAACTGTAACAAGTTGTACCCATGTCAATTGTCTGGTTTTGATGTTGTACTATAATTATGTAAGATGTAATCATTGAAAAAAACTAAATGAAGTTTACATAGGGCCTTTCTGTACTGTCTTTGTAACTTCTTGTGAATCTATAGTTATTTCAAAATAAGGATTAGAAAAAAATCCAACCTGAGATTTTTCAGTCCCTCACTAAGTGAGTTTAATCATTTACATTTATCATGATTCCTGATACATTTGTATTTGTATTTATTGTTATTTTTTCCACTTACTGTGCCCTTTTTCTTCATCTTTCTGTGACCTTCTTTCTTGCATTTTATAATCTTGATAGTGTTTGCTATGCCCTTTGGCCTCTCCACTGTTTGGAAGACCATTTTTAATTACATTCTTTTGGTGGTTAAACTAAAAACTTTACCGCATTTACTTAACTTTACATGGTTCTCACACAATCTAAAGCCAAGTCAGTCTCTCTTCTCCCTTTAAATAAGGCAATTATCTTAGAATTCTCCTATCCCCTCTACATCCTGTATGTTATTTCTGGGGTATAATTTGGTTTCACTTGGTTTTTAAACATGACAATTATTATTTATATACATTAAATTTTCTTTTTAGATTTATGAACTTTAAAAAACCAGTTTACTCCCTTTTATTTAACATTTCTTGGATCTCATTTCTTCTCTTGGGGCTTATGTTTATTCTTGATGAAGTATGTTTTTAGTAACTCTTTTCAACCTTTGTATGTCTGAAAGTATATTTAACTTGCCCTCGCTCTTGAATGGAAGGCTTAGCTGGGTATAGCATTCTTTTCTCTTTGCACCTTAAACATATTGTTCCTTTCTTCTCTGGCATCTATAGCTGATAGTGAGAAGTCAGCTTCTTTGTATGTGACCTGTCTTTTGAATTTCTAGGAGCTTAAATTCTTTTTTGATGTTTGAAGCTCTATAGTTATAGCATGAAATCTTTGGGTATAGCGTAAGAGAGGTATTTCTGGGGATAGAATAGTTCTGAATCTTTTTTTCCCTTAAGACTCCTGGATCAGAGACAAAAAATAGTTCTGAATCTTGAATGTAGTGGTGGTTTCACAAATCTACACATGTAATAAAATGGCACAGACTGTCCCCCACACATATGGTACCCATCTCGGTGAGTTTCTACCTTTATTTCTCAGCTCTCATAGCAGTTCTCAATATCTAATGTTATTTCATGTGTTTGTTTGTGGGTTTATTTTCTTTCTTTCCCAAGTAGAACATAAGCTCCATAGGGGCAAGGACTCTATTTTGTTCCCTGGAGTGCCCAGGAGAGTGACTGGCAAATAGCAGATCACTGAGCAATAGATTTCATTGCCAATGGACTCCTGAGGACACAAATAAGTAAGTGAACAAAATGATCTATAAAGCATCCCTAAAATTAACAAATATAATTGACAAGATATGACATCCATAAGGTAAGTATAGCTTGTGATAAAATGGAACAGAGAATAAGAAAGAGTTTCTTGGAAATTAAATATGTAATTGGCAAAATAAAAAATTCAATGGATTGTAGGGACCAGCCCCACAGGGTCAGTGGGTCTCTCCCTGTGTGCGACGACCAGAGAGTGTAGAAATAAAGACACAAGACAAAGAGATAAAAGAAAAGGCAGCTGGGCCCGGGGGACCACTACCACCAATGTGCGGAGACCGGTAGTGGCCCCGAATGTCTGGCTGCACTGTTATTTATTGGATACAAGGCGAAAGGGGCAGGGTAGAGAGTGTTAGTCATCTCCATTGATAGGTAAGGTCACGTGGGTCACGTGTCCACTGGACAGGGGGCCCTTCCCTGCCTGGCAGCTGAGGGAGAGGAGACAGAGAGAAAGACAGCTTACACCATTATTTCTGCATATCAGGGACTATTAGTACTTTTACTAATTTACTACTGCTATCTAGAAGGCAGAACCAGGTGTACAGGATGGAACAAGAAGGTGGACTAGGAGCGTGACCACTGAAGCACAGCATCACAGGGAGACGGTTAGGCCTCCAGATAACTGCGGGCCAGTCTGACTGATGTCAGGCCCTCCACAAGAGGTGGAGGAGCAGAGTCTTCTCTAAACTCCCTTTCCCGGTCTGCTAAGTAGCCGGTGTTTTTCCTTGACACTGAGGCTACCGCTAGACCACTGTCCGCTCGGCAACGGGCGTCTTCCCAGACGCTGGCATTACCGCTAGACCAAGGAGCCCTTCTGGTGGCCCTGTCTGGGCATAACAGAAGGCTCGCACTCTTTTCTTCTGGTCACACCTCACTATGTCCCCTCAGCTCCTATCTTTGTATGGCCTGGCTTTTTCTAGGTTATGATTGTAGAGCGAAGATTATTATAATATTGGAATAAAAAGTAATTGCTACAAACTAATGATTAATGATATTCATATATAATCATATCTAAGATCTTTATCTGGTATAACTATTCTTGTTTTATGTTTGATTTTACTGGAACAGCTCGTGTCCTCTGTCTCTTGCCTCGGCGCCTGGGTGGCTTGCCGCCCACAATGGATGACCTAGAAGTTGATGTCAAATAAATTTCCCAAAATGGAAGAGGAGAAAGACATATCTTTTTACCCTTTGATAAAGAGAACAGATAATCATAACAGAGAATCAATTTAGGAGTTCCAGCATCTAACAGATACATTTCCCTTCAAGCATGTTTTCTGTACACCACAAGTTTTCCTTTCTTTCCTTGTCATTCACTCTTAAATGTTTTATAATTTTTCATGCTGACTTTTTTGCTAAGAAATGTTATTTAGAATTGTGTCTTTGAATGAGTAAATATCAATCATTTGTTTTGCTTTTCTTCCTCTTCTTTTTTTCTGTACTGCCAGAGACATGGGAATCCCTGCCTTATGCCCAAGCTTGGCACGAATTCATGTTCCAATCACTCATAAGTGACTCTATTTCTATTTTCTCATATGGCTTAGAAGGGATCAACAAGTAGAGATTTTTCTACCCTCATTCATAGATAGAACATTATTTTCTGGTTCCCTGTGATGCACAAAACTTGAGACCTTACATCCCAGGCCTGTGTGATCATAAGTCCCCATTCCCTCGTACATGTATTTGGTCTACATTTCTCCCTCCCCATCCTCAGTTCACCCAGGGACTTCGTGGATCAGATGTGCTCATTGCTTTAAACGTAGGTTTCCTTTTCATTTTTGACACCCGGAATGTTTTTCTATTTTTACCTTTCAGCTTAACAATGTATGTGTAAACATCACATTTTATCCATGTATGTCTGCTTATTGCAGTAGCACAGGTGACTCTTGCCTATAGTCAGTTTGACATCTTTACCAGAAGGTACGTTGGCTCTTTCTCCCAGTTCACCAATGTGCTCTTTAGCTATGACCTTCGTATTATCCAATGTCTTGAGTTTTTATTTCATCAACTTTTTCTTTTCTTTTTTCCCACTTATTTAAATTGATAATAATTATGTATGTTTATGGGGCACGATGTGATGTTTTGATCTATGTATTCATTGAGAAAAATTAAATCAAGCTAATTAACATATGTATCACCTCACCAACTTATTTTTTTATGGTAAAAACACTAAAAACATTGTAGCAATTTTGAAATATACAATACATTATTATTAACTGTGGTCACTATGCAGTGAAATAGATTACTGAAACATACTTCTCCAGTCTAACTGAAAGTTTGTAATCTTTGTTCAACATCTTCCTTTTCCTCATCCCTTCCTTTTTCCTGCCCCCAGCCTCTAGTGACCACCCCTTTACTCTCTGTTTCTATGAGATCAAATTTTTTAGATTCTACATGTAAGTGAGATAATACGGTTTTTTTTTTCTTTTTGTCTTTCTGTGCCTGGCTTATTTCACTAAGCATGATGTTCTTCAGTTTTATCAATTTTTTTCTTTTTTGTTTTTTGAGACGGAGTCTCGCTCTGTTGCCCAGGCTGGAGTGCAGTGGCACGACCTTGGCTCACTGCAAGCTCCACCTCCTTGGTTCACGCCATTCTCCTGCCTCAGCCTCTCAAGTAGCTGGGACTACAGGCGCCTGCCACCATGCCTACCTAATTTTTTTGTATTTTTAGTAGAGACGGGGTTTCACCATGTTAGCCAGGATGGTCTCGATCTCCTGACCTTGTGATCCACCCACCTCGGCCTCCCAAAGTGCTGGGATTACAGGCGTGAGCCACTGCTCCTGGCCTCCATGTTGTCTTAAGTGACATAATGTCTTTCTTTTTAAAGGCTGTATAGTGTTCCATTGTGTATATATACATTTGCTTTATCCATTCATTCACTGATGGGCACTTAGGTTGCTTCCATATCTTGGCTATTGTGAATAATGCTGAAATGAACATGGGAGTGCAGATATCTCCTTGATGTACCAATTTCAATTCCTTTATATATATAACCAGAAGTGGGATTACTGGATCATATGGTAGTTCTATATTTATATTGAAGAACTGCCAAACTATTTTCCAAAATGCCTGCATTAATTGTCTTTTCTCCATATCCTTGCCAACTTGTTATCATTTGCCTTTTGATAATAGTCATTCTAGCAGGTGTGAGGCCATATTTCATTGTGGCTTTAATTTGTATTTCCCTGATGAACATTTTAAAAATATATCTGTTGGCCACTTGTATGATACCCAAAGTCAGAGAAGTACACTACAAAAGAAGAAAACTACAGGCTAATACCCCTGATAAGCATAGGTACAAAAAAAATCTCAACAAAATACTAGCAAAGCAAATTCAATAGCTCATTAAAAAGATTATTAACTATGATCAAATAGGATTTATTCCAGGGATGCAAGGATGGTTTAACATACATAAATCAATAAATGCAATACACCATATTAACAAAATGAAGATTGAAAACCACATGATCATTTCAGTAGTTGCAGAAAAAACATTTGACAAAATTCAACATCTCTTTATGATAAAAACTCTCAACAAAGAAGGTATGGAGGAATGTACCTCACCACAATAAAGGCCATTTATGACAAGCCTACAGCTAACATCATACTCAATGATGTATCTTGCATATTCAACAAGATAAGAATTTCCACTCTCCACTTCTATTCAGTATAATACTGGAAGTCCTAACCAGATCAATTAGACAAGAAAAAGAAATTAAAGGTATCCACAGAGAAAAGGAAAAGGTGAAATTGTCTCTGTTTACTGATGCCATAATTTTATATATAGAAAACGCTGAAGACTCCACCAAAAAAAAAAAGGTGTTAGAACTGATAAATTCATTGAAGTTACAGGTTACAAAATCAGTAGTGTTTCTGTACATCAACAGTGAACTATCTGAAAAAGAAATTAAGAAAGCAATTGCATTTATAGTAGCATAAAATATTTAGGGTAAACTTAAGGAGTTGAAAGATCTGCACTCTAAAAACTATAAAACATTGATGGAAGAATTGAAGAAGCACAAATGAAAAGATATACCATGTTCATGTATTGAAATAATTAATATTGTTAAAATGTTGATACTATCCAAAGTGATCTACAGATTCAATGCAATTCCTATCAAAATTCCAATGTCATTTTTCACAGAAATAGAAAAAAAAATCCTAAAATTGTATAGAACCACAAGAGACTCTAAATAACCAAGAAATCATGAGCAAAAGAACACAGCTGGAGGCATCATACTCCCTGATTTCAAAATGCATTATAAAGCTATTGTAATCAAAACAGCATGGTATCGGCATTAAAACAGACACATTGACTGATGGAACAGTTTAGGAAGCCAAGAAATAAACCCAAGTATTTGCAGTCAATTGATCTTTAACAAAGTTGCCAAGAAGATGCAATGGGGAAAGAACAGTCTCTTCAATAAACGGTGTTGGGAAAACTGGATAGCCACATGCGGAAGAATGAAATTGGACTCTTATCTCACACCATATACAAAAATAAACTCAAAACAGATAAAATAGTTAAATGTAAGAACTGAAGTTTTAAAATATCTAGAAGAAAACATAGGGGAAAATCTCTACAACATTGGTCTGGGCAATAATTTTTTGGATAGAACTCCATAAACACAGACAACAGAAGCAAAAATAGACAAATGGGATAACATCAAACTAAAAAGCTTCTGCACTGCAAAGGAAACAACAGTGAGGAGACAACTTATGGATTGGTAGAACATATTTGCAAACCATACATCTGATAAAGGGCTAATATCCAAAATCTATAAGGAACTCAAACAACTCAACAGCAAAACAAACAAACAACAACAACAACAACAACAAAACCTGATTAAAAAGTGGGCAAACGACATGAACAGACATTTCTCAAAATAAGACATACAAATTACATCACATTTTTTATTTCCAAGATTCCTAGTTGGCTCTTTTGTCAGACAGCATGTTCTTATTTGATAGATATTTATGTTTCTCCTTGTCCCAGGTGTTGGTTTTTCTTCTTTGTTGAGTTGGGATTCTGTTTGTGAATGGTGTTAGTTTCCCTCAAGACTTTGATTAGCCGTGTGTGTGTGTGTGTGTGTGTGTGTGTGTGTGTGTGTATTTCTCTATTTGAAGCCTGCATTTGTTACCTGCAGCCTATCTCCAGTAGGAGCAGGGATGGATATGATGCCAATTGTGTAAGATATTATCTGGGCTTGATGGCTGCCTGCCCCTTTTGGAAACCACTAGCCTTTATGATAAAGCACTGGCACCCAGTGCTACCATAGGGAGAGGGATAGGGACAGGGAGGAGACAGAGTTTATCCCTAACTAATTTTCCTATTGGTATGTCTCGGATGCCACTCACTTCATATATTCATTGACTCTGAGCTTGGAGCATTTCTAGAGTCTCTCCTAACTTTTGCAGCAAGTTTCTCTGAACATCTTTTGGGTTGTGGTTTCCTCCTTCAATCCAATTCCATCTACTTTTCTTAATTCAGGTATGTCTTATAATTTATGGTCCACCTAGGACCACCAGTGCACTCCTTGTTTGCTGATATTTCCATGGAGTTATTCTTTGTTTTTGTATTTTTTTTTAGACAGGGTCTTGCTCTGTTGTCCAGGCTGGAATACAGTCGCATGCGATCATGGCTTACTGCAACCTCAACCTCCCAGGCTCAAGCAGTTCTCCCACCTGAGCCTCCTGAGTAGCTGAGACTACAGGCATGCCCCACTGTGCTTGGCTAATTGTTTTATTTTTGTGGAGACAGGGTCTCCTCATGTTGCCCAGGCGGGACTCAAGTGACCCTCTCACCTTGGTCTCCCAAAGTGCTGGGATTATAGGCATGAGCCACCGTGCCTGACCACATTTGTTCTTTCAAAAGTATCTTTTCTGTCATTTCTAAGGATCTTGCAAAGGAAAGTGAGGCTAGCACAGCTTCTCAATCTGCCATCTCCTGAATATTTCTGTTATTATTTGAACTCTTAAAAACATGTACCACTTTTTCTAGAAAAATGCAAAACACTAGAGAAATGTTATTCTGAAAGAATGTAATGATGGCTACTATGTGAGACTATCCAAGACAATTTTAAAAACAAAAGTAATATAAAGAGATTTTACCACCAGATATTAAAAGATATTTTAAAGCCAAGTTAATAAGAATATGATGTTGGCATAGAACAAAATGGACAGATCAGTGGAAAAGATTAGGAAATCCAGACACAGAATGTAGTATATAATAAAGTTGGCATTTTGAATCAATAGACAAAATATTGTGTTTGCACAAATGGCTGACCATTTGATAATCTTGGGGTAGGAAAAAACTTTTCTAAGCAGACACCAAGTCCAGAAACCAAAAAGTGATAAGATTTTATGAGTTAAAAATAACATTTTCAGTACAGCAACAGCAATCATAAGCTCAAGAGACAATTAGCAACTAGAAATACTTTCAATATGGGTGGTAAACAAAGGATTAACATCATTAATATATAAATACTCAGATTCCAAAAAAGAAGAAAAATAACTAGTATACTCACCAATATACCATCTTTTATATGGAAAATAATGTGTATATATACCATTTTTATACAGTTGGATTAGCAAATATTAACCAGAATGAAAACACCCAGAGGTGACTTGGGTGTGGTACCTACTACATATCTGTAGATGGGAAAGGAACGTAAGGATAACCTAGAGGGAGGGAAATTTGACGTGATGTATCAAAATCCTTAAAAATGTGTCCAGAATATTTGATCCAGATGTTCTAATGCTAGGAATATATTCTAAGAAAATGATCAGACAAATGGACAAAGATGTGTATGTATGTGTGTGTGTATACACACACACACACACACATACAAGCACACACATATATATATACACACATAAGGTAGTTTATATCATGGAATTGTTTGTGATAGGGAGAATGCATAGCAACTTAAGTATCCATCTGTAGGGAAATGACAAAGCAGTGGTTGTCAGATGTGAGTGTGTGTGTGATTTTTCCCCTCAGGAGGCATTCAGCAGTGTCTGGAGACATTTTTGGTTGCCACAACTGGGGTGAAGGGAGTGCTACAGGCATCTTATGGGTAAAGGTCAGGGATGCTGTGAAACATCCTACAATACACAGGACAGCCTCCTTCAACAAAAAATTATCCAGTCCTAAATGTCAACAGTTCCGAGGTTGAAAAACCTTGAAAGAACTGTTGGTACCTTCATAGAGTGGGAAGCTTTTTGTGTATTCAAGATGAGCCTGTATATTTCCATTTATTGAAATATAAATATGGCCATGAAAATTATGAAAAAATGTTGCTGGTTATAAATCAGAAGTAGCAAAACAAAGCTAGACTAAGCAGTGGTTGAAACAGTTAAGGTATCTGATTGTATCCAAATATTAACTGTCTCCAAAATTGCTCTAAATGGTGTATCATCTTTTTCAAAGTAATTAGTAACTACCAAATATTTATATGTAGTTGTTTTAGTAAGGAGACTTTTAAAAATAACTTCTATTTCTGGAGTTCTTAGTATATGCCAGGTATTGTACTAAGTGGTTTATTTCACTTCTCTTTTTAAAAAGGAAAGCTTTTTATTAGTACCAAAGCAGGACATGTAAATTGTACAAAATTATAAATATGTATAATCAAGCATTTACATTATTAAGATGTTCCCACTTCCCAGGGGACCCCATTTCGCAACACATTGGTGCATATCCTTCCAGATCTTTCTCTGTGTGTATACTTTTATACATATATGTAGTAAATGAGATCGTGGTGATTTTAATGTGCTTTTTTTCAATTCACAATCTGCATCTTTCTGCTATAGTATACTTTTATATCATCCGACCAATATTCAGACCATATGCAAGCTTTCCCAAATGATCCAACAATGTCACTTGGTTTATCTTCCAAAAAGAGAGAGAGAGAACACGAAAGAGAAAGAGAAAAGACACACAGAGAGAGAGACAGAGAGAACAGGAAAAAATAAACCTAATTCATCACCATTTGAAACAGCTATTTGGAAAATGGTAATTAAAGGGGAAGAATCAAACAGTTATACTGTCTTTCCTTTAGGAACTGAATTTTAGGGTGACTGGAAAGCTCCTTAATGAAAGAAAACCCTGTTTTACCTGTGTGCCCTTTGACTTGAATCTCTTGCATACCTTAGGAGCTCAACAAATGTGTGTTGATTATGGATGAATGCGGACCACTTGGTAGGAAGTAGCCATGAGTAACTCACATCCTGAGTGATAGCCTTGGAAAAATAGACCTAGGAATCACGGCCAGGTCAGCCTGTGAAGAACCAAACTGCCCATCTCTTATTGGCCTACACTTAAGAAACAGTTCATATTTTAAGTATTAGGTTTGCTTCATCTACAGACGATAGCATTTGAGAGACTGTATGAGTAAGAACTGTTGGCTGGAAGCAACAAAAACTGCTTCTGATTAACTTAAGTCTGAGTGGGATTTATCAGAAGGGTTTTGGGCAGTTTACAGAAGACATGGGGGATCCAGAGAGTGAAAGGTGCAGCCACAGGCACTGTCTGACCATGAGGACCCAGTCACCTGAAACACTCTGTTCCTTCCACAGCAGGCATCTCCACCATACCCTGCCTGGCATCCTCTATTCCACTCCAGTCACACTGAGAAACCTTCAACAGATCATAGTCCTTTGTGTCATTCCTTTTATGTTCAAAATCCTGGGTGTGAATGTCTGATTGGCCATGTTTATGTTGTGAACCCATATTTAGTTGCCAGGAGGCATGGAAAAAGAAATATCTCCCCAATTTCCATAGCCAAAAGTTGGGCTACCTCCCACTCTTCCTTGGATGAACCTGTAGTGGAAAAGGAGTTCGGATGAACTCTGTGCAGTGGAAATGACAGCTGCCCACTCTAGAGACCAGTGCTCAGAAATAGTAGATATATGATTAAATGTCCCCAGTATTACAATGAACCCACATTTTCTCCTCTGCTCCTGGCCCTGGTTCCATTGTCTTGATTGTATAGATAGGAAGCTGAGCCTCAAAGAGGGTGAGCAGAGTCCCAGATCCCTCAGCAATTAGTAGTAGAGGTGGGATTTGAACCCAGATTGTTAGAGCTTTTCCCATTGCACTGCAAAATGGTAATGGCTGTAGCCAGGAAGTCAAAGAGGGAAGAGGGTTTGCCAGAGATATACTCTAGGGTTCTGTGCAAAGCCTGGGAGACAGAAAAACTGTGATCACCCTTAGCATGCCTGGACTCAAAAGCCATTGAGCTTTGGAGCAGGATGGGACAGAAGTTTCTTTTTCAGAAGAGGGGAAAGTATAAGAGAATGTTTATTAACTGCCCCATATAGACAAGGCTTGGCAAGATCTTCTTGAAGCAGTCCTGAACAGCTCCCTCCACAGCCCACCCAATCCTCCTGGAGCTCTCTCCCTCGACACTTCAGAGGGGGGTGGGGACCTCCACTAGCCCCTTCATGCCAGAAAGTCCTGCTTCTTCTGACTTAGCTGTAAGCTCAGCGGGTTTGAATGCAAGTCCTTCTCCATCTCCTCTTTTCTCCTCCTCAGTGCAGTCAGCATAGCCTGGCACGTGGAGGGGACCATCCCCTTTGCTGACTTACAACTGGATTTCAAAATCAAGGTAAAGGTCAAGGAATGGCTGTAAAGCCACTTTCATGTAATCTTGCTAGCTTTTCTTGAACCATTTTGGGCAGAAGGCCTTACCTGTAAAGTGCACGAGGTCAGAGTGATGCACTTTTGAAACAGAGAGAAGAGGAGCTGGCTGTCCTACAGACCTGGGTTTCAGAGCTGTGCAGGAGACCCTGGGCAAACTACTTTCCTCCCCAAGCCTGTTTTCTCATTAGTAAAATGTGGATAAACATAGTACCATCCCCATGGGTTTGTGGTGGGGCACAGTGCTTGGCATTTGTATGACTGCTTCATGAAACGTCTGTATTTAACAGAGGGAAAGAGTTATTTAAAGCTAAAACTAGCTTTAGCCTTTTAAGGGAAGAGGCAGGGGAAGGCAGAAATACCTGCACTGGTGGACACATAAATTTCTACACTGCTCTCTTGTACTCATGGAGGGTCCAGGGATGTGGGTGGGGGAGGAACAGCTGGAATTTCAAGTCTCTGTCAGGTCTTCTGAGTGGCTCAGGACCTGCAGCGGATGGCTCTTTGTTTAGAGGACACTTTGAACATCTGTATGTGAAAACATATGTTTGGAGCCAAGTAGAAGGTGGGGAGTTGTTACTGTTCATAATGAAGAATGGGTAAGAGCTGGCAAGAGAGGAAATAGCCAATGATGAGGGGTTTCACCTGCAGAGAAAAGCACAGAGAGAAATTCTCAGTGGCAGGGTGACCCAAACACTCAGGAGAACAAGAATGTCTGATATTCATTTTTAAGTCGTTTGTGTTGCCGTGACATAAATAGCCCCATCCAAACCTTCAGCAAAGTGTGCTCTTGACATTGATGTTTTGTGTGGGCAAATTAGGGGAAATCAAGAAAAAGAGGCTGGATTTCATGTCAGACTGGAGTGGAGAGAAGAAAAAAGCCATTGCAAGTGGCACACAAGTGAGGTCAGGACTTGGTGGAGGTGACCCGGGAAGCAATGCCAGGGAATTGCAGAATGCTCATAGAAGAAGGGCATTGGACTTTCTGCAGGAGGAGAGATGCTGATTCAAGCCAGTTTTACTTAAATCTCAAAGACAGAATGACTTCAGTCAATATCTGAGTTCCATACACGCGGTTGAGAAATCACATCATGGAAGAAATAGACAGAGAGGCAGAATTGGTGATTGCAGCTGGAAAGAGGAAACATTTAATTTTTTAATATTAAAAATATCTAGAGTATGAGGGAGTATAGTATTCATTGGGGCTGTTTGCAAATGTTCCATGTCTTTCTCCTTCCAAGCACAGGGCAAAATTGCATTTCCCTATATGTCTGAAGTTTGATGTGGTCATTGATAAGCCTTGGCCTGTGAAAGTGAGTGGAGGGTTCCTTCCAGGCAGGAGCTGAGTCAGTACAGGCCTTGAGCCTCTCTCTTTACCCTCTGCCTTGGTGACTGGCAATGGCTTAGAAAGTGACTGCTTTGTCACCCTGAGTCCTCATTGAGGACAACATCAATAAGCCTTAAATAAAAGTTTTTTTTTGGTTTGTTTTTAAAGCAACGGAAATTTGGGGATGGGGGATTGCTATTGCTATATAACCTAAGCCCATCCTAAGCCCATCCTGAATGATACAGGAATTTGTGCAAAACCTTCCTTTATTAAGGAGGAACCTGAGACTTAGGAGCAGTGGCCAGCCTTGGCTCACTGAGAGACTGTGCAGAAAATCTTCAACTAGGACCCAGCTCTCCTGTTTCCCAGCAAGCAGCCACCTCAACCTTGAATGTTCTACCTGCTGGGAGAGTGATGCAGTGATGCTGAGCCATCTACATGCAGGCACCAATGAGAACAAGCTCCAGACAGACAGCCCAAGCCACTTATGGGAAAATTCCTTAGAGTTCTCCCTCTGCCTCACCTGCCTCCAGCTTGGAGGGTAGTCCACTCATTTGCGCTTGATCTCTCAACCCCCAGTCCACCTGTCCTGAGTGTGCATGTTGCTTCTCTGATGATGGCATTTGTCAATCCTATTTGACATCATTCTGCCTTTGCCCTTTGTCCTCTTTGCGTTTCTGATTAATCTGGGCAATGGCCATCAAATAAGCCATATAGAGCCAAAATAACACTATATAACAAGAACCCTAAAACCTCACTGGTATTCCACAATAAGTGCTTAATATTCGAGCTCTCTTTCATCATCTTCCTGGGAGCAGTGGCCCAACCCAGGAATCTCATTCTCCTGGTGGTGGCAAAGGTACCAGAGAACAAACAGAAACAAGTCTGATTGTCTCCTGCCGTGCAGGCTTGTTGGTAGGACTCTCAGAGTCCCAGGTGGTATTATCCAGTGCATATAAACAGCCAAAGACAAGCTGAATAAGTATGTTGGATGGCAAAGCCTTTGTAAAAGATTTATCGGCCCCTGCAGAAACAGCTTTTAAATCACCCAAGACCTGTAATTGCATTGGGTGTACGAGTAAATGCATCTAGCTAGCACCTGTGAGTCCAAGTTCACCCTTTGCCACTTCTTACCGGCAGAGTATCCATTCCTTATTTATTGAGTACCTAATAGGGATCGTACACTATACCAGGCCCTGGAGACACAAGGAAAATACGAACAACATTCTTCTCTTAAAGATCTATGAGGTCTACAGTTGGGTAGAAATGTATGGTGTGGTTAAGAGTAAGGGCACAGAGAGAAAAGACTTTCTAGTACTGCAGAGGGGGCATAAAGGGAGGGTTGGATAACAAACTAAGCTTTGAAGTTGCATAGAAATGGGTGTGATAGAGACAGAATGAGCATTCAGACAAAGGGAATTTCATGGTGGCTTAGTTTGTGCTGCTGTAACAAAAATATCATAGACTGGTGGCTAAACAA
This sequence comes from Homo sapiens, assembly GCF_000001405.40. Taxonomy (NCBI): domain Eukaryota; kingdom Metazoa; phylum Chordata; class Mammalia; order Primates; family Hominidae; genus Homo; species Homo sapiens. The sequence continues at coordinate 4,405,937 of NC_000020.11, forward strand.
CAAGTTATTTCTCATAGTTCTGGAGGCTGGGAAGTCCAAGACCAAGGCACTGGAAAATCTGGTGTCTGGTGAGCACCTGCTTTTTGGTTTGCAGAAGGCTGCCCTCTTGTATCCTCCCATGGCGTGCACACACACATGCAGAGAGAGAGGGGGAGAGAATGAGAGAGAATGAAAGGAGAGAAAGAGAGAGAAAGTAAGCTCTCTCCTGTCTCTTTTTTATAATGGCACTAATCTCATCATGAGGGCTCCACTTTTATGACCTAATTACCTGTCAAAGGTCCCACCTCCAAACACTGTCACACTGGGGATTAGGGTTTCAACATATGAATTTTGGGGGGACACAAACATTCAGTCCCTAGCACTCGGGAAAAGGCAGGAAGAAAGGAGCATGGATATGATGTGTGTTTGCGCATAAGGTGGATGAGGAGTGAGTAGGTGGCATGCAATTCTAGCAGGGTAGGTTTGGGTCTGGTGTTCTAGGACCTGACATGCCAATGTAAGGACTTAGGACTTTATCCAGTGAACATTTGGAATCACTGAAGAGTTTTAACTGGGGGAGAAAGAGCATTCAATGTTTGTTTTTGAAGACACCCTTCATGTAATGTGGAGTATGCATTAGAGAAAATGACATCGGTTTGGGGACAGCTGTAAAGTGTCTAAGACAGAGACAGCAAGGCTCTGAGGGGTGGACAACAGTACAGCATGGGGAGGACACAGCCAGAGGAGACTTAGTTTTCTAAGTTGGGTGCCTTAATAGGAAGCACTGTCTTTAACTAGGAAAGAGAATGTGGAAAGAAGAGGGGCAAGGTTAATATGGGTTTGAAATGCCTGAAGGTTGCGTGGGTGGCAAGGCTTACGAGCTTTGGAGCTGTGACTCATGAGTGCGGAAAGAGGTGGCTGGAGATTGGGAGCTGATTAATTTCCTCAAGGAGAGAGTGCAAGTTGAAAGAACATGAGAAAGAGTAGTCAAAGTGGTAGCAAGGGAAGAGGGAGAGAGTGGTGTTGAGAAAGCTAAAAAGGAATTTTGCAAACAGAATAAGGCTGGATAGATCAGCCAACCGTATACAGTTTTGAAGGTTGTGTACAGCACAAATTTAGAACAAACTATTTCCAATATAGATTATGTGAATGAAGCCTTCTGGAATTGTGCAGCATGTGGCCAATATGGCTGTAAATGTCAGACCTGGCCACAAGGCTGGTTGGAAGACACCACTGGATTTGATGTCCAGACTTTACCTTATACCAATTAAATCAAGAATTCCAGGAATGGGAAGATAAAATGTAGGTATCAGTTTTGTTTTTGTTTGTTTGTTTGAAAGGAGTCACTTAGGGGATACTTAAAAGCTTCCCAGGTGATTCCCATGTTAAGACAGGGTGGAGAACCACAGTGTCCTGCCCTCTCTCCATCATCTCAGTCCTGCATCCTAGCAGCTAAGCATTGCTTAACAGGCCAGCTTCAAGTCAATTTCATGCTTACCTACCACAAATGAACATTCAACACTGCTCGGGAGTCGAACCATGTTACTCCAAGGGCTACCTTCCCATGATACAAGATGACCACTTTCTAGCTCCTTCTCAGTCCTCAAAATACATCCACCAATTCCCATTCGGCTTATAATCTCATCTCAAATGTCACCAAGAAAACCCACACCGTTAGCATGAAACTGCCTAGTCTTCACACCACCAAATCTACAATCTTACCAGAATCTCTAACCATCTTCTCAGTGCTTGCACCGTCTCAGGCCATGCCCCTTCATGTACTCTAGACTCCACACCCACTCTATTCTGCATCTTTAGCCCTCTTTTTAATTATGATATTCTCATTTGCACCCAGGCAACCCTAATATCTCACTGTCGAGGGTACAGGCTGCTGTGGCTATCCGTACCTGGGTGACACACCACTCCAAAATTTAATGACTTAAACAACAACCATTTTGTTGCTCAACAATGTGAACAGCTCAGTAGGGATGGCTTGTGTCTGCTACTCATGATATTGACTGGCACTATTCAACTGGGGCTGGAGAGTCCAAGATGGTGTCATTCACATGTCTGGCACCTCAGCTGGGGAGGCTCCATCACCTGGGGCTTGGCTGGGGTTGTTGGGCTTCTTTTCTTCTCATGGGCTCCCTCCTGTATCTGGGCCCTAGTTCTCCTCCACATGTCCTCTGTTTCCATGTGTTGTCTCATCTATCAAGACCTCTCTCCACTTGACCTCTCTCTCCAACAGTACAGTGTGGACTCTGCACATGGTGAATTTTCCTCTGAGCAAAATCAGGAGTTACAAGACACCTTCAGGGCTGGACTTAGGAATCTCAAATTTTCATTTATGACAAATGTGTCTTCTGGTCAGAGCAAGTCACAAGAGCAGTCCAGATTCAAAGGGAAAGGTCCACCTCTGGATAGGAGGAGTAGCACTCATGTCCGTGGGAAAATGTTTGGTGGCCTTGCATGCACATTGATACTACCTTGACTCTCCATATCAGAGTTCTGTGTAAGGGGGGAGTATTGCAGGAGTCAGACAAATGAAGATCGAGGTACAGAACAAGTTTTGTTGGAAGTAAAGCTAAATTGGTTTAGGCAACAATGGGCTTAACATAAACTTGTTTTAGGCAACAGCGAGCGTCCTTCTTCTTTGACCCTGAGTTGGATTTACTCACTTGTTTAAATGTACAACCTCAGACCTTCCTAGCCTTAGGGGCAGAGCCTTCCTGGGAGAGTTCACCCAACAAAGGAGGATGGAGCAGGGCAGACACTAGGGGCAGAGGGTAGGTGCGAGCCACCTGAGTTCATTCATCCTTCTAGCCTCACAACCCACTCAGTCCTTCCTGATCCCATGGAAGAAAGGAGTAGGGATGAAGAGGAGAGCAGAAGACTGCTTCCCAAGAATGTGCTGGTCTTTCCACATCTTAAGAACCTGACTTGGTGTGAAGGCAGAACAGCAGGGGAAGATGGTGCTCTCGAATACACTGGAGTCTGTCCACTTACATACCAGGTCTCAACTATGGTCAGCCAAGGGTGTAATCACCTCCTAAGGGGAAGAGATCTGTAATTCTTAGGGGGCACTCACTGGCATAGTAATGTAGCCTCACCCCAAGACCAATCAACTATTTCATCATTCTGAGATCAAGGGTATAATCTAGTTTTCTTTTAAAAAATTCTTTTTATAAAGCTGTCTTGACCAAGTCAGGGCCAGGTACCAGACAACTAGGGAGAACCTGTATGCCCCAGAGCCCACAAAATTGTTCAAATAAGCCAACCCACAGAGAGCCTGCAAACTCTAGCTAACCTCACCCTCACTTATATACAGGCAGCCCCTACATCTTTAGATTGCTGTTACCTTGCTCCCCGGGCACAACCCCCTGTGTGTGGCTGTGACTGGCAGCGTTCTCTTATTTGGAGCTGTGCGTTACCAGAGTTTTGCCATTCATCTGGGCAAGTTTCGTTGTATTGTGTCTCGTCAGCAGAAGAACCCTCAAATCTTATAAAACACAGGGTGGGCCATCTAGCTCTTTCCCTGAAAGCTCTGAAATAGATCAGCACTGTACATTAACTAAACCAACTCTGAGACTTACATCCTGTGCTGACAATTCACTCTGTTCTGTTCCCATCTCCAATGATGGCCTGTTGCACAAAATGGCTCAGCTTAGGGCATGTAATGAGCTCCAGTGATAGATTTTAATAACTCTATTATCATAATAGTGGTGATATAAAACTGTCCCAAACTTGAAAAATAGCATTTAGCCTCCCACTATCAAATATTCAAATACCTGCTTGTAAATCTAGTCCAAGATACAGAAAATAAAAATTGTTAAGAACTCCATGAAAATTAAAATCTCCAAATCACTCTTGTCAATGTTAACTCTACTGTCACAACAAAGAGATGTCATTCATATGCCTAAGAATATAAGGAGAGAGTCTACATCCCTTCGGCAGCCACAGTTAGGGTGTTGTTACTTCAGAACATCCAAGCTGAATTCATCTAACCCAAAGTCTAGTGCCTCATGTTTTACAGAGAAGAGAGTTAAGAGGACACATAAGACTTTCACAGCTCTGATGCACACCCATGGAATTCAGAAATACAAGAAAAAGAAAAAGGCTGCAAAGCAACTATTCCAAGAAAAAGTTGTTATTTGCATTAAACCAAACGTATATGACCATTGCTGAGATGTAGCATGGTCTGAGAGAGGGTAAAAAGCTCATATTGGTTTCAGCTTCATTGTGATGCCAGCCTCAAGCTATGCTAGTTGTCCAGTGTCATGAGAACAAAACTCAAGTAGGAGAAATTTCCCATCAAGAGGCTAACTAGAGGACTTGTTTTCCAAATGTGGTTGATGCTGTTGGCACCCTCTCGGCATGCTCTCGGCCCTCACTCTGCCTGTGACGTTGATGGCTTCCTCCTGCGAACACTCGAGACTCTCCAGCTGAAGGCTTTCCCTGAGTGTGGGAAGAGGTGTAGGACTGGCCAGAAGTGCTCATGAGTTAAGGACCCAGGAGCAGCCCCCTCTATGAAATGATGGACAGGAGGAGTGCTGGATAAGCACCCCAGCTTCCTCGCTGCTTAAGTGGCACAAATCCAAGGTGCATTGCACCACAGTCTCTCAGAGGGTCTCCAACAGGACTGGGTCTCAGTTGCCCATGCAATGCCCTTTGTTGACTTTCCTTCCTTTCCTGCCCCACTTCCTCACTCTACTGTTAGTGCTTCTTTGGACTATCTCCCAAATAATCTTCCTCCACCAAAATCTTTGTCTCAGGTTCAACATCTGGAGGACTCTGACTTGAAACCCCATACCTGTGGGAAAAAATCCATGCTACACCCTCTTTTCTCTCTCATAGAGTGGCTTTTTAGATACTTTGATTTTTCAGCTGAAGTTTTAAATATATAGTATTGACATAGCCAGTTACCAAGTGTTGACTGAGGTGTTCCTCTTTAATACCTTGTGGGTATAAAACTTCTTTTCCAAATTCCCTCTCGATTTTTTTTTTTTCCCTGAGACTGAGTCTCACTCTGTTGCCCAGTCTGGAGTGCAGTGGCAGGACCTCAGTTCACTGCAACCTCTGCCATCTGGGTTCAAGTGATTCTTGTGCCTCAGCCTTCTGAGTAGCTGGGACTACAGGCGCACACTGCTGCACCTGGGTAATTTTTGTATTTTTAGTGGAGATGGGGTTTCACCATGTTGGTCAGGCTGGTCTCGAACTCCTGACCTCAAGTGATCCGCCTGCCTTGGCCTCTCAATGTGCTGGGATTACAGGCATGAGCCACCGCTTCCGGTCTGAATTTTATGCTCCTTGAACCCAGAGATAAACTGAGTTTAAGCAGAGCCTCCAACACCTCTCGTGAGTATTCATATTGATTTTCTCAAGCTCATGAAGCTCATTAAATCCTGAGGTGCCAGGGACCTGGTGAGGACCATCACTCTATCATTTGCCTTTTCCCCAGAGCCTGGAATGTGTGCCACTTGGGTGGCAGCTACGAATCTTTCTGCTGCCACTTGGTTCTCTGCAGCACTCTCTGTGTCATGTGAACCTCCAGTGTTCATTTCCCTGTCTTTTATCAGGGAGTTTTGGGTATGTTTTTAGCATTTTGACCTGTTTCTTAAGTGGATCCCCTGTCCTTTTACTCTACATATAGGGTCACCAATGTTCGATGGGCATAAATGCCTTTTTCCTCTTATTTCCTCCCAGCCTGTTTCTCTGAGACCCAGATTTACCTAAGTACACCTCAGGATTCTGTCTGGCAGAGTCTCCCATCATGAGAGAGAGGAGCAGAGTCATTAATGGCGGTTATGGTTAGGGAATATAGTTGTGTGTGTGTGTATATGTGTGTGCGTGTATGTGTAAGAATTAAATCTTAAATAATTATGAGAATCAAAGATCCAGAGGGAAGTTGAAGAATCAGAGAGGGAGTCCCTAGCCAGCCAATTTGAGAAGCCAAGCACGTCTAGCTTGTGAAGCAGAACTGTGAAGAGGAAGCTCGTGGGAGGTCTCTGGGAAGCCCCCACCTCTGTGGTACACAAGCATCTGGGGTGAGCCCGAGGGGGCTGTTGGTCAGCAGAACCAGTAATTAGACCAAATAGCTGGAAGCTGAGTGGGGAGGGTGAGAACAATCTGGATCCTCTGGCACCTCTATGTCTAGTTGCCACCATGTGACCAGGACCTTCAGAGAGCAATGGCCATTGCTAACTGCCACTGTCTAATTGTATGCAGAGTTTTTTCTGGCATCCTCTCAACTAGAACCGTAAAGGGAGGGTATTATGGGAGACAAAGCTCCCCGTTTAACCAAGTTGACCCAGTACAAACTACCACAGAGATATAAAGTAAATTGTTCAAGTAAGTCTTGTCTATATTCTCCCCCATGAATTAGATAAGCCCATCTATATGATCAACATTTTACTACTATTGCTCAGCCTGGCTCCCCTGGGCATGTCTCGCCTCCCCTTTGCCTTCCTTTGTGTCCTGATTCCCTAAATATTCCAGGCATATTTCCAAGGGCACATGCCCTGAGGCTCACCTAGTGATGTGTTCCATGCATTCTTGCTAGGGACCTTCCAAATCTGTCCATACCATCTCTAAGCACTGAGAAAGGGCTACTTCCCATGTAGTTTAGTAAAGATTCTCTATCTGCTACTTTAAAAAGCTGAGGCTCCTCAATTGTTTCTTGAATCTGGGCCCCCTCTGGGAAAGTTATACCACTGAACTCCCTGAAACTATGTTTTTCCTCTGTTAGATTTCTTGGGGTCTCAACCTTCCTGATATAGGAAGAAAAAAAAGATAGTTTCCTCTTCAAGAGGCCACAGTGAGCTAAGAGCAGGTGTACAACTGGAGCACGCAGCCACAATATAGGCTGCTCCTGCACCTGCCAAAGTCTAAAGGATTGTTAGGTTTGGTCTTGGGCTGAGCCCAAAGCCTGTCTCTTTGGCCCCAAATACTTGTCCTTGTACCCATTTCTCAAGGTTTCAGGCCTTTGAGTCAATATGTTGGGGGTTTAAGGTAACAATAAATCATGTCTTTTCCCCCCATTTCTTTCTGAGTATGAAACCAACTGGGAGACAACCACAGGATTCAAAGAGAACTTAAAATATCAGCTTGATTATTACAGTTATGCTTGAGGATGATGACTTGACCAATTAGGCTTCCTAATACTTCATCCTCATGATAGGCAGGGCTCTTAAGGCTCCCCTTGCTCAGGGCAGAGCTGGCTCTTTAGGTGGACCAGGTGGAGGAGAGGAGTCCTACAGACCCATAACCTGGGCAGGGATCCTCATGAGAGAGCAACCAGGAGCTGCTGGGCCTCACTTGCCCTGTCCATGCTCACAAACCTATCAACCCCATAAGCCATTTTCCTCCTGGGAATGAAAGGCAGGGAGATAAGAAACATTCTTCAGGTACATTTCTCTCTTGGGGAGAAGAGTTAAAAATTGTCTTCCTCTATGGGAGTCTGAGGTGTGGAGGAAGAAATGACCCCATCTGCTCCCACCTCCTAAAAGCCAGCTCCTTTCTTAGTGCCCCTGCACTGCTGATGGCAGTGCAAATGTGTAGAGTCATCAGGGAAGGTGGTTGGTAGTTAGGACTGAGGCTGAGGACACTATGACCCAGCAGTTTCACTCTTGGGCCTACATTGCAAGTGAATTCTCTCGTGGTCCATGAGAGGACATACACAGAGATGTCCACCACAGCAGCTGGAGGCAGCCTTGAGTCCCAGAGGAATGGAAAGGAAGTGCAGTGGACCCTCACTACTGAATACTACACAGCTCTCAGAGCAATGAGCCCGAGGCATGTATAACCACGAGAAAAGAGCTTCTCAAAAAAAGTGTTGAGTGAAGAAAGAGAGAACTAGAACAAGGTCTGTTGCACAATGCCATTTATGTAAATTAAAAGGACAGATACACAAAGAGTAAGCGTTTCATTTTTGCAAAAAGGCACACTTGCACACTCAAGGACATGAGTCAAAAACACGAGCACGAGAGCCTGTGGGGGTCAGAGGTCAAAAGGAAAGCACAAGAAATAGGCCTTGCACAAAACGATGATGAAAGTGTGCCATGAACTAGGACTCCGGCCAGCTCAACCCTTGGCTCCTGAGGTTAAAAAATACCCTTTCCTCAACCCCATCAGTTCCGGCTTTTCCTCCTTTTCCCCTGAACATTCTAGGGGACTTCAGTGTATGGCACCCCTTTCTTGCCCCTCTCTCACTCATGTCCCTCTTTGGCTGGTTTTCCATGTCAGTGGTCCCCCCAAACTGCTTTTCCAGAAGTCACCAATGACTTCCACATGGCCAGATTCATCGGGCATTTTTTATTTATGTTCTTCTTCATTCTAAAAATTAAGGTTAAATGAACTCACTTTCTTAAGGGTACAGTTCTGTTTTGACAAACGCTACCACCATTGTAATCAAGATATAAAATGGTTCTACATCCCCCCAAATTTTTCATGGCACCCTTTTTTTATTCCCTCTCCCCATCCACCCCTGGCAATAGTGAATCTGCTTTCTGTTCCTGTAGTTTCATCTTCTGGAGAATGTCACATAATGGGATCATACATTTTCAAGTGTATGATTTTGATCCAGATTGTGTGCGTATCAGTAGCTTGTTCTCTTTATTACTAAGTAGGATTTTATTGTATGGAATGACCACAGTTTGTTTATCTACTCACCTGTTGAAGGGCATTTGGGTTGTCTCCAGGTTTGGGTGATTACAAATATACCTGCTAGAAACATTCGCATGCAGGTGGCCATAGGTTTTCATTTCTCCACGTAGAGACCAAGGAATGGGATTGTGGATTATAAGGCAGTTGTGTGTTTATCTTGTAAGAAACTGTAATGGACATTTTAGAGTTCTCATTTTGCTGGAATTTTCAGCATCTTGTACCATGGTTGACCTCCCCTTTCTGTGAGGTTACTTTTTCCAGTTTCTTTACTGTTCCCCCTGCCCCGCTCCCCCAGCTCCCAGCCAGACTGGGATGCTTCCTCGGCTCAGTCCTGTGACAGTGAAAAGGAGGCCCAGTATGGCTACCCCCATTTCGCTCCTAACCCCCTGCCCCCTGGAGGTGATATCTTCTAGGTTAACTGCTTTTGCTCCTCTCTGCACATAGACCAAGCTAACTATAGGAGGAATTTAGTTTACAGTTTAACTTTAAAGCAAGGATGAAAATAATCCTTTCCCAAAATTACCCCCCAAGAAGATAAGGAGGGTGTACGCACAGAAACCATGTTGTATTCAAGATTTGTGGGAACGTGTGGCCTGACCAAGGACAGAGAGGTTTCATGGCCTCATCAGACAGTCACTGGTGCCCACAAGTCTGAGGTTGTTGGTCACCTCTTGATCCCAACCCTTTCCTGTTCCCCCTGCCCCTAACATAAAAAGAGCCTGAAACTTTTACTGACTTAAGATGGTTCTTTAGGACGTTAGTCCACCATCTGCTCAGTGTGCTGGCTCTCCAAAATAAAGCTGCTTTCCCTGCTCCAACTCCTTGCCTCTCGACTTACTTGCTGTGCTGTGGCTAGAAGAACAAGTTTGAACTTGGTTACAGTCCCGGAGTCCCTTCCCTCAGGTGACTGCAGCTGTTTCATGGCTATACCATAAATGCTGTCTCTGGTTTGTGGCTCCCACATTTATAACTCTCTCCCCAGCCTCTTCTAAACCCCAGGCTTATGAGTCCCACTCTGAATGTGGCATCATCTGAGAGCTTTCTGCCATGACTCTGAAACACTGATGTCCTCTCCACTCCGCCCCACCTCGACTGCTTCTGCTCTGGTTTTCCCACCAAAGTGAAGACATCTCCACCCACCATTGCTTAAGACAAACACCAGGGAGTTATTCTTTATACTCTCCTTGTATTTGTTATCTGTTGCTGCCTAACAAATTACCACAAACTTAGTGGCTTTAAACCACACCCATTTATCATCTTACAGCTTCCACGGGTCAGAAGTTTGGCACAGTGTGGCTCAGTTGGTTCCCCTGCTCCAGGTCTCAGAGGGCCAAAATCAAGGTATCAGCAGGGCTGTGCTCCTTACTGGAGGCTCTAGGAAGAATCTGGTCCTAAGTGTATTCAGGTTGATGGAAGTTCCTTGCAGTTGTAGAACTGAGGTCCCCATTTCCTTGCTTGCTGCCATCCAGGGTGCCCTTACTTCTTTAGAGCCCTCTCTTTGTTTTTTTTTTTGTTTTGTTTTTGTTTTTGTTTTTTGCACGTGACTCTATGTGTTGTTAAGAAGCAACAACAATTTATTGTGGTACCGTTTACAATAGCAAAGACTTGGAACCAACCCAAATGCTCATCAATGATAGACTGGATAAAGAAAATGTAGCATATATACACCATGGAATACTATGCAGCCATAAAAAAGGATGAGTTCATGTCCTTTGCAGGGACTTGGATGAAGCTGGAAACCATCATTCTCAGCAAACTAACACAAGAACAAAAAAACCAAACACCGCATGTTCTCACTCATAAGTAGGAGTTGAACAAAAAGCCAAACACCGCATGTTCTCACTCCTAAGTAGGAGAACACATGGACACAGGGAGGAGAACATCACACACCGGGGTCTGTCGGGGGGCAGGGGGCTGGACAGGGGGAGCATTAGGAGAAATAACACCATGGCATGTGTATACTTATGTAACAAACCTGCATGTTCTGCACACGTACCCCAGAACTTAAAGTATTAAAAAAAAAAAAAAGCAACAACAGCACATAGAACCCTTCTCATGATTGACATCTCTGTTTTGCCCTGGTGCTGCAGCTCTCTGACTGCGGCAGGAGGAAGTTATCTGCCTTTAAAGGCCCATTCAGTTAAAGTGGGCTCACCTGGATAATCCAGGCTAAATCCAGGATAATCTCCCTATTTAAAAATCAGCAGTAACACTGCTGTGGGTTGAACTGTGTCTCCTGAAAAGGTATGTTAAAGTTATAACCCTGGTACTCATGAATGTGACTTTATTTGTAAATTGAGCCTTTGCAAATGTAATCAAGTTAAGACAAAGTCAGATGAGGAGTAGGTGGACCCTGAATCCAATCTGACTGGTGTCCTATTAAGAAGAGGAAAAGACCCAGCACTTTGGGAGGCCGAGGTGGGCGGATCACCTGAGGTTGGGAGTTCGAGACCAGCCTGACCAATATGGAGAAACCCCGTCTCTACTAAAAACACAAAAGTAGCTGGGCATGGTGGCACGTGCCTGTAATCCCAGCTACTTGGGAGGCTGAGGCAGGAGAATTACTTGAACCTGGGAGGCGGAGGTTGTGGTGAGCCAAGCCAAGATTGCGCCATTGCACTCCAGCCTGGGCAAGAAGAGCGAAACTCTATCTCAAAAAAAAAAAAAAAAAAAAAAAAAAAAAAAAAAAAAAGAAGAGGAAAAGAGAAAGAAAAACACACAGAGGCTCTGTCATATGAAGACAGATGCACAGAGGGCAGATGGCTGTGTGATAACAGAGCCAGAGACACAGGTTATGCAGCTGTAAGCCAAGGAATGCCAAGGACTCCCAGTAACAACCCAGAGCTGGGAGAGAGGTCACGGCCCTGCTGACCCCTCGATTTCAGACTTTTGGCCAGTAGATGTGTAAGAGAACACATTTCTGTTGCTTTAGGCCACTCCATTTGAGGTGCTTTGTTACAAAAGCCCCAGGACACAAATACAAATCCCAATTACATCTGCAAAGTCCCATGTAAGGTCACATATGGGTATGGTCACATATAATGCCCATATATAAGGTCACATATGGGCATCAGATTCACAGTCCCAGAGCTTACAGTGTGGAATCTTCTTGAGGCCATAATTCTGCCTACCTCCTCTCCCCGTTCCATATAGCTAATCCATCACCAAGTCAATTCTTTCTTAAAAAATTTTTAAAGTTTTTGAGCTATTTATCTGTATCTCTACTGTAGTCAAGACACCTTCATGTCCTACCTGGATTATTACAATAGTTCACTAACTTATCTCCTCGTTTCTCCCCTTGCCTATCTCACAAAATTCTTTCTTACAAAACAATCAGATCATTTTAGAACACAAGTTGGATCATATCATTTGTATCAGTGTAGAATTTATTCAGGAACAAGTAAGAGAAAATCCAACTTATGATGACTTGAAAAAAAAGAGAGATGCCTATTTTTTCTCACATGAGAATGCCCAACACAGGCAGTCCAGAGCTGATGCAGAAGCTGAATAATGTGATTAAGGACCGAGTCACTTTCTACATTTCTGCTTTGCCATTCTTAAATTTATTTACCTTCTGTCCTCATGGTTGCAATATGACTGCCATGCCTCCAGGCATCACATTTGTGCTCAGGATGGAAGTTAGTGAAGGACAAACGACAAAACCTGCCAAAGTTTACTTCCCTTTTTATTAGGTAGTCCAAAAATTTCTCAGAAACTGTTCTTACTGAACATAAGCTTATATCTCATTGTCTAAAACTGTATCACGTGACTATCCCCAGCTGTGAGGGAGCCTTGGAAACTGAATATTTCTTTAGAGAAAGGCAAGAGAAAATGATGTTGAGAATGGGTATTCCATGAGCCTATCTACATCATCTCCCTTACCACTGTCTTGTTTAGAAGCTCTCTGTTTGATTTATTATTATTATCATTATACTTTAAGTTCTGGGATACGTGTGCAGAACGTGCAGGTTTTTTACATTGGTATACACGGCCATGGTGGTTTGCTGCACCCATCAACTCGTCATCTACATTAGGTATTTCTCTTAATGCTATCCCTTCCCTAGCCCTCAACCCCCTGACAGGCCCCAGTGTGTGATATTCCCCTTTCTGTGTCCACGTGTTCTCATTGTTCAACTCCCACTTATGAGTGAGAACATGCGGTGTTTGGTTTTCTGTTCCTGTGTTAGTTTACTGAGAATGATGGTTTCCAGCTTCATCCATGTTCCTGCAAAGGACATGAACTCATCCTATTTTATGGCTGCATAGTATTCCAGGGTGTATATGTGCCACATTTTCTTTATCCAGTCTATCATTGATGGGCATTTGGGTTGGTTCCAAGTCTTTGCTATTGTAAATACTGCTGCAATAAACATACAAGTGCATGTGTCTTCATAGTAGCATGATTTATAATCCTCTGGGTATATACCCAGTAATGGGATTGCTGGGTCAAATGATATTTCTGGTTCTAGATCCTTGAGGAATCGCCACACTGTCTTCCACAACGGTTGAACTAATTTACACTTCCATCAACAGTGTAAAAGCATTCCTATCTCTCCACATCCTCTCCAGCATCTGTTGTTTCCTGACTTCTTAATGATCGTCATTCTATCTGGTGTGAGACGGTATCTCATTGTGGTTTTGATTTGCATTTCTCTAATGACCAGTGATGATGAGCTTTTTTTCATGTTTGTTGGCTGCATAAATGTCTTCTTTTGAGAAGTGTCTGTTCATATCCTTTACCCACTTTTTGATGGGATTTTTTTTCTTGTAAATTTGTTTAAATTCCTTGTAGATTCTGGATATTAGCCCTTTGTCAGATGGATAGATTACAAAAATTTTCCCCCATTCTGTAGGTTGCCTATTCACTCTGATGATAGTTTCTTTTGCTGTGCAGAAGCTCTTTAGTTTAATTAGATTCCATTTGTCAATTTTGGCTTTTGTTGCCATTGCTTTTGGTGTTTTAGTCATGAAGTCTTTACCGATGCCTATGTCCTGAATGGTATTGCCTAGGTTTTCTTCTAGGGTTTTTAGGTCTTAGTTTAAGTCTTTAATCCATCTTGAGTTAATTTTTGTATAAGATGTAAGGAAGGGGTCTAGTGTTCTGCATATGGCTAGCCAGTTTTCCCAGCACCATTTATTAAATAGGAAATCCTTCCCCCATTGCTTGTTTTTGTCAGGTTTGTCAAAGATCAGATGGTTGTAGATGTGTGGTGTTATTTCTGAGGCTTCTGTTCTGTTCCATTGGTCTATGTATCTGTTTTGGTACCAGTGCCATGCTGTTTCAGTTACTGTAGCCTTGTAGTATAGTTTAAAGTCAGGTAGTGTGATGCCTCCAGCTTTGTTCTTTTTGCTTAGGATTGTCTTGGCTACATGGGCTCTTTTTTGGTTCCATATGAAATTTAAAGTAGTTTTTTCCAATTCTGTGAAGAAAGTCAATGGTAGCTTGATGGGGATAGCATTGAATCTATAAATTACTTTGGGCGGTATGGCCATTTTCACGATATTGATTCTTCCTATCCGTAAGTATAAAATGTTTTTCCATTTGTTTGTGTTCTCTTCTATTTCCTTGAGCAGTGGTTTATAGTTCTCCTTGAAGAGGTCCTTCACATCCCTTGTAAGTTGTATTCCTAGGTATTTTATTCTCTTTGTAGCAATTGTGAATGGGACTTTACTCATGATTTGGCTCTCTGTTTGTGTATTATTGGTGTATAGGAATGCTTGTGATTTTTGCACATTGATTTTACATCCTGAGACTGCTGAAGTTGCTTACCAGCTTAAGGAAATTTTGGGCTGAGACGATGGGGTTTTCTAAATATACAATCATGTCACCTGCAGAGACAATTTGACTTCCTCTCTTCCTATTTGAATACGCTTTATTTCTTTCTCTTGCCTGATTGCCCTGGCCAGAACTTCCAATACTATGTTGAAGAGGAGTGGTGAGAGAGGGCACCCTTGTCCTGTGCTGGTTTTCAAAGGGAATGCTTCAGCTTTTGCCCATTCAGTATGACATTGGCTGTGGGTTTGTCATAAATAGCTCTTATTATTTTGATACATGTTCCATGAATATCTAGTTTATTGGCTTTTTTTTTTTTTTTTTTTTTTTTTGAGACGGAATCTTGCTCTGTCGCCCAGGCTAGATTGCAATGGCATGATTTTGGCTCACTGCAACCTCCATCCCCCAGGTTCAAGTGATTCTCCTGCCTCAGCCTCCTGTGTAGCTGGGATTACAGGCGCATGCCACCATTCCTAGCTAATTTTTGTATTTTTAGTAGAGATGGGGTTTTGCCATGTTGGCCAGGCTGGTCTTGAACTCCTGACCTCAGGCTGAGATCATCTCAGCCTCCCAAAGTGCTGAGATTAAAGGTGTAAGCCACCATGCCTGGCCTCTGTTTGGCATTTTAATGCAGTATAAATAAAATTCGAATTTCCTCACTGCCTCTCTAATATTATAATTTATGACTCGTCTCCCTCTCTGGGTGTGCCAGTCACTGCAGCATTTTTTTTTTTTTTAAGACTGATTCTCACTCTGTTGCCCAGGCCAGAGTGCAGCAGTGGCGTGATCTCGGCTTACTGCAACCTCTGCCTTCCGGGTTCAAGGGTTCAAGCGATTCTCCTGCCTCAGTCTCCCAAGTAGCTGGGACTATCGGTGGGCACCACCACGCTTGGCTAATTTTTTTATATTTTTAGTAGAGAGGGGTTTTCACCACGTTAGCCAGGATGGTCTCGATCTCCTGACCTTGTGATCCACATGCCTCGGCCTCCCAAAATGCTGGGATTATAGGCGTGAGCCACCGGCCCGGCTTCACTGCAGCCTTTTTCCTAGTTCTTTCCTTATGTGGAGGCTTTGCTCATGCCTTTCTTTTTGTCTAGGAGGTAGATTGCATTATTGCTCCTGATTCTTCACTCTGTCCCTGTAATAAAGTGTCTACTCATGCACTTTACAGAGCCTCTCTGTGGAGGAAGTAAGACATGTTTTCTTGCTCCAGTACCTGGACTGATGTATGTTAATAGATGTGATGCTAGCAGAGGCTTTAGATGTGTTTGGGATGTTTGTCTTGGCCTCTTCCACTTCTGTCATCCACCATGAGAGATCGTGTTCCTGTAGCTTTTTGGCTCTGAGTGGGACACTGGAGCTAACTCAAAACCAACCTGCAGCCTGATGCTGAGCCCAGCTGAGTCCAGCCGAGATCACCCAGACTCCAGCCAAATCCGAGACTGAGTGAGAACAGTAAATGGTATTGCAAGCCACTGAGACTGCTTATGATTGTGATGCAGAATTAATGCCGCAAAATCTAACACAGTCTGAATTATTCTTCCTCTCCCCCACACTTTAACTTATACTTATCTTTTGGGTCCCAAATGAAATACGACTTCCTCAGAGAGACTTTTCCTGTATCCCCAAAGTTAGTTGTGCTAAGCTTTCTCATAGAATTCTATTCTTTCCTATGATTAAATCTAGCATAATTTGTAATTGTAGCTTTGTTCTCATGTTCATTTGTTAAAAATATACCGTATACTATAGACTGTTAGCTCCCTGAGTGTAAACTCCTGTTTGTTAATAAATCAACACCAAACACCAAATACAAGGCCTGCACATAGTAAGTGCTCAATAAATGTGAGTTATTGTTTATTGAACAAGTATACCCCAATCGAAGAAATATAATTGAGTTATTCAAAATTTTGTTCTTGAAGAATTTTTCAATGACATGTAACCTATAGTTAT
Organism: Homo sapiens; assembly: GCF_000001405.40. NCBI lineage: Eukaryota > Metazoa > Chordata > Mammalia > Primates > Hominidae > Homo > Homo sapiens. The sequence continues at coordinate 4,422,300 of NC_000020.11, forward strand.
AGAATTATAATCTAAATTGTATGAACAAATGTGAATGTATTCATATAAAAATATTCAAAGGGACTATACCAAAGAATTAATAATGCCTATCTCTGTGTGGAGGCCTTATACTTTATCTTTTTTATTTTTTATAATTTTCTGTATTCGATACAGTTCTTCTAATATTGTGGCAATATATTACTTTTGTAATCAGAAAACATAATAAAAGTTATTAAAGATACACATTTATCTTTTATATGTATGTGTGTGTGCGTGTGTGTGTGTGTGTGTGTGTATGGACTTAATCATGCTTTTCTTAGTGATGTAATGAGAAGATTCTAAAGAACATCAGAAATCAGACAAAGCCTGGGTGGGTGGCCAGAACATTCTGAGTTGGAAATAGCTTGTCCTGGGTTTCTCTGGTTTCAGGGCTCCCCAGAGTCTGTTCCCTGCCCTCTGGGAGGGTGTCTGACAAATACAAGGGACATTAGGGTCAAGAGGAAGGCATGGTCCCTTCATGGTCCCTTGGGACTAGGCTGACTGGGAGTACGAGTAGCTGAGTGAGACTAGATAGTTTGGTGGGAAGTTTAGACCAATGCCATCTTGAAGGGTGGACCAGGTGAGCAGCCCAGCAGAGATACCAGATGGAACTGTACATGGCAATTTGCCTCTCCGGAGACCATGATCTTGAAGCAAATGAGCACCTTGATTGGCTGTTTGGATTTCATAGGCCAGAAGTTTCCAGGTAGGATTTCTCAGATACCAGGGTTCCTCAGGGACATCTCCTGTGGGACAAGGAAGGGCAAGGGGGAAGCTGGAAGGGCCTCGCATCCCCTCACTTCAACCCAAGCAGGTCCTCTATTATCTGTAAGAGCCCACTAAAAGCAAAGGAACAAAGGGTTCTATTGCTAAAAAAGGAGTTGGAGGTGGGAGTGGTCCTTAAAATCAGTGACAATGATAGGAAGCCACTGAAGACTTTCAAGGCGGGGAGTGACTTATTCAACACAAGGCTGCTGTTTTCACAGCACCGAGCAGGCCAGGCTGCAAGGCCAGGAGGCTTGAAGAGAGGCTGGAAGACAAGAGACTGTTGCCGTCAGTGAATAATGTGACTGTGATAATAATAACAATAATATTTATTGAGTCAGGCACTGTTCTAATTCCTTTACCTGTATTAACTCATTCTTCCCCATAACAATCCTATGAGGTAAGTACTATTATTATCTTCACTTTACCACTGAGGAAACGGAGGCACAGACAGAGATGGTAAATAACTCATGGTAAATCACACAGCCAGAAAGAAGAGAAGCTGGGATGTGATCCCAGACAGGCTGAGCCTTGCCCAGAGGGAGGTTGAGGACAAAAGTCCATCTGGCCTAATAGACTGGCCTGATCTTCCTTCATTATGCCCGCTGTTGCACTGTCTCTTGACCTTTTAATAGTGTCTAGTGGATTTAGGTTATTAGCCAGACAAACAAGCTCCCACGGCATGAGGACAGATGGGATAGGGGTGGGAACAGCAGAGGATCAAAGCCATACTGAAATGTCGAGTCTAAAATCCTTGGAGGCACCGACATTGAAGGAATAAGGTAAACCAGGAGAAGGTGATGCTGAGTGGAATGTGTCCAGTTTGGGATGACGAAGGTACCCAAGGGACATGCAGGTGGAATCAGTGACTGTAACAGCATGAACCATTACACACCTGCATGTTTAGCATGAATCAGAATCACCTGTAGTGCGTGTTAAACCAAAGATCCCTAAACTTCATCCCCGGAGTGTGTGACTCAGTAGAATTTTTATTCCTAAAAAGCTCCCAGGTGGTGCTGATGTTGCTGGGTCCATGAACTACACTCAGGAGTACTGTTTTGCATCTCCCAGCCAGCAAAGCCCTTATGCATGTACGATATCACGAATTCTTCTGAAATGCTTCCCCAATTATATTTTGGTGACATTAGGGTTTTGAGAAATAAACATACGAACTCGTTTTCTCTTGTTTCTGACACCCTTTTCTTGAGTCATCAAAACCCCTAAGTAGCTGTCCTACATCTGTGCCTTTACATAAATTGTTCTTACAGTCAGCTAAGCCCTCCCTACCCTGCCTCCAAATTTAGCTAATTTATTTTATTGCTTAAAAGTTTATCTTCCCTAGGAAGCCTCCTCTGACCTCCTAATCTCATTTGGTTGCCCCTGCTGTGTACTCCCATGGAACTTTCTACCTACTTCTGCCATGCACTCAGCACGCGGCACTATATCTTTAACTGTCCTTCTCCTCCACTGACATCATAGACTTTGTATCTTGCAGTGCTTAGGGCAGTGCTTGGCATATGGTAAATGCTCAATAAATATGTGATGAATTCAGTTAAGTGAATGAATAAACACTTTCTTCTTTATCAGAGCTATCATCCCCTAAATCTCTTTCATGGTGCATTCTTTTTTTAATTAAGGAAAAACTTTTCTTGAGATGCATGAAACTATGAATTCATAATGTAAAATTAACCATTTTAAAGTGAACAGCATTTAGTGCACTCACAATGTTGCTCAACCATCATCTATATCTAATTCCAAAACACTTTGATTCCCAAAAGGAAATCCATGCTCATTAAGCAGTTATTCCCCATTGCCCATCTCCTCAACCCCTGACAACCACCAATTTGTTTTCTGCCTCTATGGAATTAACTATTCTGGATGTTTCATATAAATAGAATCATACAATATGTAACCCTTTGTGTCTGGCTTCTTTCACTTTTTGAGGCTCATTCACATTGCAGCATGCATTAGTACTTCATTCCTTTTTTTATGATTGAGTAATATTTCATGGTGCATTCTTAATAGCACACTCTAATCTCTAGAACAGGCGTGGAAAATGTGCTTTGTCTTAGATTCCAGTTCCTATCAATTACTGTACAGGCGATTTTGAGGCCATATCTGGGCACAGTAGAAAATAACAAGTGATTGATCACTGTTATGGGCAAGACTGTGGGGAGTGGGGGTGATAATGCCATATATATGTCACTCCCACTCTAGACTGAATTGATTCTCCTCTCCTCCTGTCCATGCTAAGGATGGGGAGTTTCGATAATAGGGCTCAAGATACAACTGGACCCAGTGCATTTTTCAGGAGTATTGAGAAGGCAACATTGTGAATCTGGGGTAATCAGGGAGGGCTCACTGGATGCAGTGACGTGACCTCAGCAAACGGAATTCTCAGCCTCTGAGCTGGCTGCTCAGAAAAACAAAACTGATTCTCCTCAGACGGAGACGGGTTGGCTGAGGGAACTTAGGGTATATGGCCCTAATGCAAAGTGACCAGTGTCTAACACAAGTTTCTTTCTTGTTGCTTGAATTTCCCAGGGTGGAGAGCCCCAGATTGGGTATTCTGGCCCTAGGGAGAGTTAACAGATCTTGGCACATTTTTGGACCAGGGCAGTTTCCAAATAAAGACCTGCATATCCCGACTGGTTGTCAAATGGAATTAGTGGCTTTGAGTTCAGCCTGTTCCTCACTAGAGTTACCACATATAGGGAATGTTCTGGCAGCAGAGGGAATACCAAGGGGCCAGGGCAGGACCAAGGGAGTGGAGTGGTGGGCAGTACAGATGCTCCTCAACTCATGAGGGGACTATGTCCGGACAAACCCATCAGAAGTTGAAAATATGCTAAGCTGAAAATGCATTTAATCCAACTAACATGCCGAGCATCATAGTTTAGCCTATGCTGCCTTAAACATGCTCAGAACACTCATATTAGTCTGTGGTTAGGCAAAATCATCTGGCAACATAGTATACTGTAGGGTATCCATTGTTTACCCTCCTGATTGTATGGCTGACTGGGAGTTGTGTCTTGCTGCCACTGCCCAGCATCTCAAAAGAGTATCATACCTCATCTTGCTAGCCCAAGAAAAGAACAAAATTCAAAATTTGAAGTACAGTTTCTATTAAATATGTGTTGCTATAGCACCCTTGTAAAGTTGAAAAATTATAAATCAAACCATTGCACATCAGGGACCATCTGTATAAGCAAGGCCGCTAGGGTGAAGAGATGGGGACTCCAGGGAGCTCAATTTCCTCTGAGGGTGTTCCTAATTAAATGGCTTTGCTTTTTCTTATTTTAGGCCACAATTAAAATTCTAAGTGGATCAGTTACTCTTGTTAGGTAAAAGATTTTCCACCTTCTCTCTGGCTAGAGTCCCATTTGCACTCTCTTTAAAATCCAATGCTGGATACATTCAAGGCTCCAGATCAAATTTGGGAAAGGGATTCTCCTTCCAGCCTCTAGACCATGTGATATGGGAAATGCCTTCTTGAGCTCAGCCTTGAGGTCTCTCCAACCTAGATCTCCCTCAACAGATGTTCTACCTAATCCCCCAAACACTGCCACTATGAGTTCTTTGGCAAGGGATTTCCCCGCTTTTCCTGGTTCACTTTATGCACCAGCCTAGATTATTCTAGCTAGTATGTAAGGCATATGTCCCAGCATTTAGGGCATCTGGGATATGTCTTTGTTTTATGTCTTCACATAAAGATTTAATGTTAAAGGACACAGACCAGTAGGATACTGTCATCCAAATCCGGACCATCTAAGTAAGAGTCATTGTCAGCCCTTGGGGTAGCTCTGGATAGAGGTACTATTGTAAATCATTCCTAGGGAAGTCTTAATAAAGAATAGTTCGTGAATATAAACAGGTGTTCAGCCTTTGGAACTTATCAAAGAGGACGGCCATTTGTCACTCAGGGATGTGGAGGAGAGCTCCTGAAACACAGTGATACAAGTAATAGCATTCTATTAGATTAGTTCTATGGTCAAACAACTTTTGGAAATTCCACACAGCGTATGGAATTTGTCACAAGACAGGTCTGTCAAAGGCCATTAAGATTTCCTGTAGTAAGGAGCATATCTTCATTTGGCAATTTGGCTTGCTTTGTTTTTGTCCTAATTACTTAAGTAGATCAAAAGGGTCTTGAAGGCAAGAATTATGACTTTGAACCAATGCACATCAGAACCCAGCCCACACTCAGAAAATTATGAAGTTAGGGCCGGGCATGGTGGCTCACGCCCATAATCCCAGCACTTTGGGAGGCCAAGGAGAGCAGATCACTTGAGGCCAGGAGTTCCAGACCAGCCTGGCCAACATGGTAAAACTTCATCTCTATTAAAAATACAAAATTAGGCCGGGCACGGTGGCTCAAGTCTGTAATCCCAGCATTTTGGGAGGCCTAGGCGGGCGGATCATGAGGTCAAGAGATCGAGACCATCCTGGTTAACATGGTGAAACCCCATCTCTACTAAAAAAATACAAAAAATTAGCCAGGTGCGGTGGCCGGCGCCTGTGGTTCCAGCTACACGGGAGGCTGAGGCAGAAGAATGGTGTGAACCTGGGAGGCGGAGCTTGCAGTGAGCCAAGATTGTGCCACTGCACTCCAGCCTGGGCATCAGAGTGAGACTCAGTCTCAAAAAAAAAATTAGCCAGGTGTGGTGGTGTGTGCCTGTAGTCCCAGCTACTCTGGAGGCTGAGGCAGGAGAATCCCTTGAGCCTGGGATTGAAGGCTGCAGTGAGCCAAGACTGTACCACTGCACTGCGTGGGTGACTGACTAAGACTCTGTCTAAAAAAAAAAAAAGATAAAAAGAAAGAAAAAGAAAATTATGAAGTTAATCCCTGCTGTCTACAGCCCCTTTAGAGTATCCAGACGGGTCCCCTGTGGGTGAAGTCCTATAACATCACCCCCTTGTCCTATTGTGCCCTGCCTTCCTCCTGTGGACATCAGAATGAGCAGCCAGGCCCTGCTTTTCAGGCCTGGGAAAATGGAAAGAAAAGCTATTTCAAGAAAGAGGCCAGTCGGGATGCCTGAAGAAGATGAGTTACCATGGTGACAGGATAAGACTTTGTCACTTTGAAAAGGAATGACTTTTTTTTCCTACAGGAAAGCCATTCAGTGGGCAGAGATGGTGGCTCTAACTGAGGCTTTTGTCAGCTACGGTCCTTTATCACCATGGGTGTTGGTGCACTGTCAGATAATGTAGAGTTTTTCTTGCATAAGGTGCTACGCTGGACCCAGGAAACAGGGCTGGGAGTTGGGACTCCTAGAGCCACTTCTGCCTTGACACAACTTGTAGGCTTAGGCAAGTTGCATCATTTCCTCTAGGTCCAGTTTCACTATTTACTAAATGCATAGCTGAAAATTTGGAGCAGGAGTTTTGGTGAGTTTCAAATGCTGCATCATTCAGTTAAAATCCAAGCAGGGTCTTTTTTCTTTTTTTCCCCCAGAGATTCCAGAAATTAAGTTGATTCTGAAATGTATATGGAAATGCAAGGGTCTAGAGTAGCCAAAGTAATCTTAAAAGAGAATAACAAAGGGCCGGGCATGGTGGCTTATGCCTGTAATCCCAGCACTTTGGGAGGCTGAGGTAGGTGGATGGCTTGAACCCAGGAGTTTGAGACCAGCCTGCAAAACAAAGTGAGACCTTGTCTGTATAAAAAATACAAAATTTGCTGGGTGTGGTGGTGCACACCCATAGTCCCAGCTACTTGGGAGGCTGAGGTGGGAGGATTGCCTGAGCCTGGGGAGGTTGAAAGTGAGCCTTGATCCTCAATTGCACCACTGTACTCCAACCTGGGCAAGAGTGAGACTCTGTCTCAAAAAAAAAAGAATAACAAAGTGGAGAACTTACAAACTTACATTACATAATTTCAAGACTAACTATTAAGCTACGATAGTTAAGACCATGCAATACCAGAGCAAGAACAGACAAAGAAATCTATGAAACACAAGAAAGAGCCTGGAAATAGACCCTCACTTAAATAGTCATTTAATTTTCAACAAAGGAAATCCAATGGAGAATGGACAATCTTTTCACTAAATAGTCCTGAGACAAATGGATATGTACATGGAAAAGAAAAAAACCTCAACTTGTACCTCATACCATATATAAAAATTAATTCAATTATATAAAAAAAACCCCCCGCATTCCTATGTTTGTTGTAATACCATTAACAATAGCAAAGTCATGAACCAACCTATGTGTCCATCAGTGGTCGATTGAATAAAGAATATGTGGTACATATATACCATACAATAGCACACGGCCATAAAAGGAATGAAATCATGCCCTCTGCAACAACATGAGTGAAGCTGGAGGCTGTGATCCTAAGTGAACTAACTCAGTAGCAGAAAACCAAATATCACATGTTCTCACTTATAAGTGGGAGCTAAACAATGAGTACACACGGACAGAAAGTTGGAAACAGTAGACACTGTGGACTCCACAAAAAAGAGGGTGAGAGGAAGATGAAGAGTGAAAAATTACCTGCTGGATACAATGTTCAATATTCAGGTGACATGCATACTAGAAGTCCAATCTCTACCATTGCACAATATACCCATGTAACAAACATGCATGTGTACCCCCGGAATCTAGAATAAAAATTAAAAACAATAATTTGGGATGAATGGTATACCTAAAGGGTAAAAGTGAAAGCTTCTTAAAGCAAATGTTCCATTAAAATGTGAAATTCTCCTGTGTGTGTTCACCACGTGTTCCTCACAGACCTCCCTGGGCCTTGTCCCGTGGCTCCTCCTGTCCTTAATGTGTTCCAGGAGTTCATTTAAGCACCTGTGGTGGTTTGTATTATTTGGCAAATTGTCTTAAGGTGAGAGTTTCATAGTTCCTCTTAAAAGTGCACCAAAATGCGATGGCCTTATCCAATGTAGAAAGTGGCCTTAAGGCTGGGCACGGTGGCTCACGCCTTTAATCTCAGCACTTTGGGAGGCTGAGGTGGGTAGATCACTTGAGGTCGGGAGTTCGAGACCAGCCTGACCAACATGGTGAAACCCCGTCGCTACTAAAAATACAAAATTAGCTGAGTGGGGTGACACGAGCCCGTAATCCCAGCTACTCTGGAGGCTGAGGCAGGGAATCACTTGAACCCGGAAGGCGGAGGTAGCAGTGAGTCGAGATCATGCCATTGCACTACAGCCTGGGCAACAAGAGCGAAACTCTGTCTCAAAAAAAAAAAAAAAAAAAAAAAAAGCAGAAAGTGGCCTTATTCAAATGTCCATTACTCGTAAAACGAGGGAGCTTGTCCACAATGTGAACTTTTGGGATCTTTCTGGTTCTAAATGATGGAGGAAGTGATGACTCCCAGGAAAAATACTCAAGATCCACAAGCAAAGAGGGGCCCAAACTCTAGTCTGAGATCGTGGGTTTTAAGGATAACAGATCCCTTCAGATTTCGAGGCCAGCCTGGGCTGGCTGGGCACAGTGGGGCAGAGGAGAAGGGAAACGAAAGGGGAAGGCACAACTCAACCACTGATTAGTCCTGGGGTAGAGAGCTGGAGTCACCCAGTGCATGTTCCAAAAACAGCAAGAAAAATAGCCCCTGCTCCTCCCCCAGGGTTGTGGGGGACTGCTAGATGGCAGCTAGCCGACCCCAGTTCTTTTTTGTTTCTTTCTTTTCTTTTCTTTTTTTTTTTTTTGAGAAGGAGTCTCCCTCTTTTGCCCAGGCTAGAGTGCAGTGATGTGATCTCGGTTCACTGCAACCTCTGCCTCCCAGGTTCAAGTGATTCTCCTGCTTCGGCCTCCCAAGTAGCTGGGATTACAGGTGCGTACCATCAGGCTCAGCTAATTTTTGTATTTTTAGTAGAGACGGGGTTTTACCATGTTGGCCAGGCTCGTCTCGAACTCCTGGCCTCAAGTGATCCACCCACCTCGGCCTCCCAAAATGCTGAGATTATAGGCGTGAGCCGCCGCGCCCGGCCCAGACCCCAGTTCTTACCCAGGATGTCACTGTTGACTTTGGGCACCTGCTGGGCCTAGGCTTTCTCATTTGTAAAATGAGGGGCTTAGGTTCAGAAGTTGGGTTTTTCTTCTGTTTTTAACCTAACATTTTGTTTCATTGATTAAATACATTTTAATAACTCACTCCCTTTAATGTCTCTGCCTCACCCCCTTCTCCCCACCACGGCACCCTTTCTGTTGAGTGTGTATCTTTTGTGTAGATGTCTTCTTGCAGAATATGTATTGCCGTGTTCTGGCCACCATAGTTCAGGTAAAGAAGATAGTAATCTTCTATTACCTCAGTCTGTCTTATTTCGTTTGGTACTATGTTTTTGAGATCCATGCTGGTTGCTATAGGTACATCTAGCCTGATGAGGCTGGCTCCAATCAGTTGTTCACAAACTGTGCCTTGTGAAACCTTAGTGGTTCCCCTTGTCACCTTGAAGAGCACTGGAGGGAAGAGGAGGAGAAGTAGATTTCAGAGTTGCCCACCACCCCTGGTTTAATTCTCCCACCTCCACTTTTATCTGTTTTATGCACTGAGCCTATGTTCACCTGGGATTTTGTTCCGTTGTTAAAATCCCTAGCCTAGGAAAGGACTGGAGTTCTTCCCAGCTCGGCAGTCAGGAGCTATGCACAGAAGGAGTTGAGCAGGTAATAGAAACCAAGGACTTGGCTCAACAGTAGCAGGTCCAGTGAAGGAGGCTCAGTGGAGGCCATGAAGTCACAATGGGGCTTGTATGGTAAGGACTATGATGTGGAAGGAGCCAGGAAGCACCCTTCTCTGTTCTCTGGTCTGGCTGGCCCCCAGGTCTGTGATGATGGAAGAATTTTACACAGACCCCCTTTCTCTCATGGCTACAGAAAGGTTTTCCAGGTGTCAAAGTGTTGGGCAGGCTTCTGAGCCTGCAAGAGGCTGTGAACTGCACATTAGGTCAACACTCCTTTGCGGGGTAGACACCAACAATGTATCTATTTGACTTAAATCAGACCCAGCCCCAGTTTGTCCTAGGCTGACTGTCCACAGAGCAAGATAAGGTGTCCTAGGTAAACATAGCTCTATACATCACAGAAGATCTTGGCTTCCCAGATAGAGTCAGGCTTCATCCTACATTGTCACCCAGGAAAGGTTGGGGTGCAGTTTTGGCACATGAAGGATGACTCCAGATGGTTGCGTCAGACAGATTGGCAGGGTTTTGACATTCTAACCACAGGTGTGGGTTCTGCTCTTTAGCTCTTTTCATGTTGGAAGTGTGTCCTTATTGCTGCCTTGGGAGCAATTAGATGTAGCTGCTGCTGCTTTTTTTTTTTTTTTTTGAGACAAGTCTACTCTGTTGCCAGGCTAGAGTGTGGCATGATCTCGGCTCACCACAACCTCTGCCTCCTGGGCTCAGGTGATCCTCCAGCCTCAGGCTCCTGAGTAGCTGGGACTGCAGGGGTGTGCAACTACGCCTGGCTAATTTTTGTATTTTTAGTAGAGATATGGTTTCATCATGTTGACCAGGCTGGTCTCAAACTCCTGGCCTCAGGTGATCTGCCCGCCTCAGCCTCCCAAAGTGCTGCCACCACACCCTGGCCTAAATCCATCTTCTTATACACAAGATGCTAGAATGTCAACTTGCCATTAACCATGCCAAAAAGACAGGAAGTCTTTTTCAGTCACTCAGGACATTGTTCACTCACAAGAAAGCACACAGTGACTGAGAGTATTAGCAGAGGGTGACCTCATGGGCATGGGACCAGGAGAAGTAGGTAGTCTTAGGGGAAGATAAGCTCATCTGTAAGATGTATCCCCAAGGATGGCAAGGACAGGGTCCGGGGTGTTTGGGGAGCAGTGTTAGTGCAGCTGGAAAAAAAAATTCCTAGAGTAAAGGTTTACGGATTAAGAGAATGGGAGCAGAGAGCAAATTGCCTTGTAAATCCCAACTTTACCCCTTAATCTCCCTCCCATGTTTCTTGTGACATGGATCATTTAAAATTTCCATATTAGCCCTTGTCACATGCTGCATTATATTCATTTTAGAATATAATAGCACATCTTTTCATTAGAAAAGTTAGAGTTGACCAGGCGTGGTGGCTCATGCCTGTAATCCCAGCACTTTGGGAGGCTGAGGTGGGTAGATCACCTGAGGTCAGCAGTTTGTGACAGCCCGGCCAATATAGTGAAACCCTGTCTCTACTAAAAATACAAAAATTAGCCGGGTTGTGGTGGCATGTGCCTGTAATCCCAGCTACTTGGGAGGCTGAGGCAGGAGAATCGCTTGAACCCAGGAAGTGGAGGTTGCAATGAGCTGAGATCTCACCATTACACTCCAGCCTGGGCAACAAGAGTGAAACTCCGTTTCAAAAAAAAAAAAAAAAAAAAAAAAGGAAAGAAAGAAAGAAAAGTTACAGTTAAATTTTTACAAAGAAAACAAGATTGTTGTTGACATCACATGACTTAAACTCCACAATTCTGAGTATCACCCCATTTCTACCACTAAATAGCTCTGCAACTTGGGCCAAGTCACACAAAGACAGAGTGGCCAAGTGGTGGGAGCCTACTGGTCTGTGCCTCCTGCCCTGAATCATGACCGGTGCACACGCATCCATGTCCGCTCTGCTCCTTACAGCCTAACTCTAAGCAGTGCTGGCCTCCTCCTGCCCAAGGCAAACTCTTTCATCCATGCTCAAGATCCCTCCCCTCCTAGATCTGTACTGCCCACTTCCCATTAGTCAGTACCCCCATCTCCTTTTTTCATCCTCAGCCATGAGTCTTCGTCGTTCCTAAGTCCTGCTATGCGTTCTCTCTCCCCGTCCTTCACGGCAAACTCTTTGTAAGAGTGGACATTGCTTTCTGACTTCAATCTCTCTCATGATTAAAGAAATCCAAATTTAAAAATGAAATACTGTTTTTCATATATCAGACCAGGGGTAAAATTAACATTGATAATACCTAGCGTCAATGAGGGAATAAGAAACAGACATTGTTTCCCTACTCTTTTTGTGGAAACATAAACCATTGCATCCTTTTTTGGAGGACATTGGATAATATATGTCAAAATTCAAATTATTTGACCCGACAAACTTCCTGCTAAGAGTTTACTGAGAGGGCATCTATATAATGTATATTAGGCAGATTTTTTTAAAAAAACAGATTTATATATAATAAAATATGCAAGGCACAGAACAGTGTATATGGTATAATCTCTTTTGTGTTAAAAATAAGAAGAAAAGATAAGTGAATAGACACACATTTTGTTGGGTATGCATATCTTTTCCCTGAAGGGAACAATAAGAAATTGCTAATGTTGATTAATTACCAATAGGAAAGGGAATATGGAGTGGAAAACTTTCACCTTTCATTTAGAAACTTCATATATGTCTTGAGATTTCTTAATTTACACACAATTATTTTATTTATTATTTTTACATATCAGGAGTTACCTGAATAGAGACAGTAGAGGTCAACTTTTATTTTCTTCTTTGTATTTCTGTCTACTAAGAAATACTAAAGAAAACAATAAGGGCAAATGATAAGAAATAGTTATAGAGAATATAAACTATGTAAAAAGAGTTTTGCTTTTCAAGTACGGTAAATTCTGGTCCTACATATTCTAGCCTTTAGCCCCATGAGGTTGGTCTAACTATGAAGATACCTAGCCCAACTTCTTTCTTTCCCACATCCCAAGCCTGTCTCAGTCTTGCAACTCCCACTCCTTAGGAGTGAATGCCCCAGGAAAGGAAAGTCCTGGGGGACCAACGGTGTCTCCTTGCAGCAAAAGGATCTGAGTGTGTTCTTGCAGTTGGCCCAGCTGGCCCAGGCACTGGTTAATCTGCGGCAGACACAGAGCTCACCCGCTTTTCTCTGAAGCCCTGGCTGTTGTAATAATAAAATTTGGCTCACAGACAGGATGGGAACATCATTCTCTCAGCTATAATCACAATGAGCCTGGGGATACACACTTTATGTCCTGAATACAAAGCGAAGGAATGGGCAAAGACAACAAGGGGAGGGAAGATGAATAGGAAAATAAAAAGTGATAAATATCTCTAGGAGCTAAAGAAGGGACAAAGAGAAGAAAATGGAGTGGGAAGAAGGAAAATCCCAGAAAAAAATATAACGAGAAAGAGAGAGAAAAATTGTGAAGAGAAGAGAAGGTGATGATAAAAAAGAGAGACAAATAAGAAAGAAAGGAGAGGTGAGAGGAAGAAAGAGAAAGGGGGAAAGAAGGAGGGAGTTTCACCTAAGACACCATAAAACTTTCATAGACAATAAGTCTCTCCCATAAACAAGATGAGGATGAGTTAAATTAATAGGAATTCAAACATGTGGATTATATTTCCCTTCAAAGCCACATGGGTTTCTAAAAGAAACAGGCTAGGGGTTGGAGGCAAAATGCAAGCAATGTTTTTCCAATCTCATCATTTGACAAAAAAAAAAAAAAAAAAGTATTTGCAGTTGGAAGAGTTTGACATGCTTTTGAGTTCAGTGAATTCTGTGTTCTTATAATCACCTCTTCTCTCTAACTCCTGCTTTTGATTATGGGAAGTGATGCAGCTTCTGAGAAAATAACATCTGCCATTTTGGAAACGAAAAGGAAATGAATGCACAATCATTGTCTCACCTGAGGGAGGCCTCACAAATCATCCGGGTGTGTGTTGTGATGTTGGCCCCGCAGGGATGGTAAGGAGGGTGTGGGTTTTATTTGTGGGGTCCAGGCCATCTCTCATGCAGAGAACAGCCTTGCACAGAAGCTGAAGGGACACCTCTGCCTTCAGACCTCAGATGCCATGTTCCTCACGATCTAACAAGAATATTCTCACTGAATCAGCAGTCCCAGTGCCCTAGGGAGAGGGGTGGGCGGATGGGTGCTCACTTCCTATCCCTGTTGGCGTTTCCTGCCCACCTATTTCAGGTTGCCTTCTAACTGGCTCTGAGCTGGCTGAAATCATGCCCACAGCTTGCATAGGAGCCTGGCTGACAGGGCCTGAGTGACTTCACATGTCACCTACCAGTGACATAGATCAGAGCTTACAGTGAACTGATAGAAGAGCTCAGAGAATTTGCCATGAATTGTTATAAACCAGGAGGTGATTCCACCTGCCTTGGACTTTCTCTTACTGATATTCAGTGCTCTGTTGCCTCAGGACTCAGACAGTGCCTACAAAATGCCAAACCATCAGAAAAAGCTAAGAGCTTATTAATCATCTGGGAACTTCCAAAAGAAGTCAATCAGTGATGTAACATGCAGCAAATGCACATCTGTCATGTGTCCTGTAGTGACAGATGCTGTCCTTGTTCTAATCAAGCCCCCTCAGTGAATCTCCTCACAGCTTGGACACTGCCTCTAGCTCATGTGTGCTTTGCTCCTAGAGGCCCGAACCTATGACTTCCTTCAAATAACTGAACCAACCCTTGGAGCTACTCTGCCCAGGCTTGGAGACCTTGAAGTGCCTGGTAGTCTACATCCCCCAGTAGCCACAGACTGCCGGGGCAGGAGCCTGAAGGCCTTTTGACTCAAGGGGTCACTTGCAGACAGGGTCAGGCCAAGGCTGGGACTCCCCCTGAGATCACCTCCTTGCTTGGCTTCTTCCCCTCCCCTTTTCTGCTTACCCTACTCTCTTACTGGTCTCGCCTGGAAGCACTTCCTTAAGAAATCATTTGCTCTTGTACTGTTGCCTCAGAAAAACATCTTGGAGAACCTGACCCAAGACATCTGCCTCATGATAGGCACAATGAGGAGAAAAATAAAACTCTTGCCTTCAATGTGACTGTCCCACAACAAAGCAGTTAAGAAAAAATGTATATATTTTTGAGACAGGGTCTCACTCTGTTACCCAGGCTGCAAGCAGTGGCACAATCTTGGCTCACTGCACCTCCACCTCCTGGGTTCAAACGATTCTTGTGCCTCAGCCTCCGAGTAGCTGGGATTACAGGCACGTGCCATCACGCCTGGCTAATTTTTGTATTTTTAGCAGAGACAGAGTTTCGTCGTGTTGGCCAGCTGGTCTTGAACTCCTGGCCTCAAGTGATCCACCCACCTCGCCCTCCCAAAGTGCTGGAATTACAGGTGTGAGCCACTGTACCTGGCCAGGAAAAATATTTCTTAAACAGCAACAAGGGGGCAAAAATGTTGGGGTTCAGTTACACCCCATCTCTGTCATTGAATGCTTGTCATGGTGCCAGCACAGAGTAATGTTAATGTTAATAGAAAAGAAGAGTGAATAGAGCCAGAGGAGAGATAGGGGCACTTTCAAAAGAGATGGACTTTGAGACATGGGTAGAGCTCACAGCACTTGGCATAATGTTGGCACTAACATTGCACATGAACTCAATTCCTCCCTCTTTTGATCTAGAACTCTACTTGGAAGCAGGTTCGGGGGCTGAGAGAGAAACTTCCCCAGGGATCTGCCTGCCCTTTTCACCACTGCCTAATTCAGGAGGGTAGTTGGCTGCCAGAGTTGTTTCTTGTGAATTATTTGTGTCCAGACCAGAGTCCACCCGCTTTGATAGTCAGCTTTTTCCCAAGGTCTTGTGATTTGAATTCTCTTTGGGGAATAAGGGCATGACACGAGATATGTTATCCAGGGAGGTGTGAAAAATGCTCCCCAGGTTTAATTTCTGAAGAAATAAACCCCATCTTGCTTTCAATTCCGTTTTCTGATTGACTACCTTGTTGATTCACTCAGCTATCATTACCCAGCACCGACTGTGTGCCAGGCATTGAACTAACCTCCACTCACTCACTGTCTAATACAGGAGCAGATACATAATATTTTAGTTCAGCGTGATGAGGGCAATGATCTAACAAGAATATTCTCCCTGAATCAGCAGTCCCAGTACCCTAGTTGAGAGACCCACATGGGGCTCATAGAAGTACAGAGAACTGGACCCTCCCCGAGCCCACCACTGCCTACCACGCTTAATCAAGGCCAATTGCTCTTGAGTGAAGCCATGTGCAAATTAGTAGTCAAGGTCATTCTTGGGGTGACTACAACCTTTTTTGCACATACTTGTCTCCATCACAGCTTTCAAAAGAATTATTTTTCATATAAAAAAATCTCTTCCCTTGTAGCCTGGGTTTCCAAGGGTAAAGAAAATGAAGCATTCTGTAAACCACTTCTTTCATACAAATACGAGGAGCTTTCAAGCGGTAGATTTATGGTCTGTGTGTACACTGTTGCTTAGATCCCAACAGAAAAACAAAATGTAAGCTAATACATACACAGGTAGGAGAAATTCATATTTCACATGATATCCTAAAGTGATACCTGGTAAAACATCATTCTACTTCCTTTCTGAGTATCATCTCTGTGAATATCTTTGCAGCTGTTTTTATGAGCTTATTGGCAATCATGTGACCTTTTAGTGTCAACAATGCAACTTTAACTATTGCTTCTGTAGGTTTGATCTCTTCTCTGTATTTAGAAAGAAACCCCGGTAATTCCATCTTGAAAAACATTATTTTACACTCTTTCTGACTGGCGGTGTGGGACTCATTTAGTTTACTAAGGAGGTGATTGTATTGTTTTGGAAAATCCCATAAATGCTTAAATGGCTTTTATACTGCTGTTCAGCCATGGCTTTGAGGAAGTCAAATGGATTGACTGAATTCAGTGAATAGATGTAGAGAGTAAGGAAGATTAAGGGTTCAGGGGTGACCCTCAAGTTTCTAATTTGTTGGCTGTGTGTGGTGAAGCCCCCAGTTGAGAGACAGAATCCAAAATCAGGAGCGATTTGGAGGTGGGAAAGGTAATGAATGCTATTTTAGGTCTGTTGAGTTCGAGGTGCCCATGGGGCATCCAAGGATGGTCAGTGTCTGTGAGTCTTCTGTGAGTGCATGAGGGTCTAAGATAGAGGGGTGGATCTGGAAGTTATCCGCATATGGTGGCAATTAAAACTGAAAGCTAATAAGGTCATTGTAGGAGTTAGAGAGCAGTGGGGATGGACTGACTTTCGAGGGGCAAGCAAAGGAAGAGGGTCCCCAAAAAGGAGAGAAGGCAGTGCTAGAGAGACCTCAGGAGAGTGCAGTCATATGGAAGGGAAGGGAATAGAATGTTTTAAAGAGAAGGGAGTGTGCTATGGACGGGATGTATTCTCCCAGAGTTCATATGTTGAAGCCCTAACCCCTAATGTGATAGTATTTGGTGATGAGACCTTGGGATTCAAATTTATTTAGATGAGGCCTTTGGCCTTTAGATTTAGATGAGGTCATGAGGGCAGGGTTCTCATGGTGGAATTAATGCCCCTATAAGAGAGCAGAGAGGTTTCTCCCTCTCTCTCTCTTCCACCATGTGAAAACGTGGCCATCTGCAAGCCAGGAAGAGAGCCCCCACAAGGAACCATATAGACTTCTCAGCCTCCAGAACCATGAGAAATAAATTTCTGTTGTTTAAGCCATCAAGCTGATGGCATTTTAAAAAATAGCAGCCCTAGTAGACTGAGACGGAGAATTCCAAAGATACAAAGAAATCCAGCGAGATTAGAACTGAACATGGTATAGAGGTAATGTGTGACTTTGCTGGGAGAGTAGTTGGAGTAATTGGCAAAAGCAAGGTCTGATTTCATGGGTAAAACAGTGCCAAGTCTTCTGGAAGGATGTGGACGAATAGGGAAGGAGAGCAATTACAGAGCAGACAGAGGGCAACAAATAAACATGACTGTTTCGGATGTCAGGCTTGTTTAGAGTCTGAGAGGAAGTTTCCAGCGGAGAAAGACAAATGGAAAGTGTTAGGGAAAGAGGAAGACTGGATTGAGGGGCTGGCCTTGTACAGGGGAAGGTAGGGGATGGCTGTGAGTGTAGATAGGCATATGAGGGTGTAGGGATAGGAAGCTGGTGTTCATGTCTGATGGCGTTCATGTCTCCATGAAGCAGAAGGCAGAGTCATCACTGACAGTGAGAAGCAGGGGAAGGCTTCAGTAGGGGCTCTATGAGGGCAAAGAAGTTTAGAATAATTGAGATGGTGGAGGGAGATGAATCTTCCTCTCCCTCCCCCAGAAGATGAGTAACAGAATTGCTTAATTCAGGCACCAAATTAAGTTTGGAGAACTTGAATTTATAATGATCTGATTTTCTCCAGCAACCCTTGGCTTCAGAAGTGGAGAAAATGGATTGGGTATTGACCCTGGGTGTGCATTTTGCAGGACAGGTGAGGCAGACAGATACATGTACAAGGAAACTGAGCGTTCTGGATAGAAGACAATCCGATGAAAGTGTTCCATCTGAGAGAAAACAAAACAAAACAGAAAACAGGCCAGGATGCAGCTGAGATGCAAGATACATGATATGGGAGGCGTGTCAAGGGACAGAGACCTCTAAGAGGTAGAAGAAGAGAAGTGGAGGAATCCAGGGTTGAAAGCGTGGCCAATCCGCCAGTGCCAGTGGAACTGAAAGGCTGAGATAAAACAGAAGTGATAGAGCAAGCACCTAGGAGGAAAACACAAAGTGTGCAGATGGGCTGTCAGAGGGCCAGCTCGCTGGGATCACCCAGAACAACATCAGGAAATGGTGCAGAGGAAGGACAACAGGCTGGAATTCAAGTGGTTAGTGAATGAGATGGCAAGGCGAGGAGGTGGGCAGTTTAAACTAACCAGATGAGCCACAGAGTGGCAGACCTGGATGATGGGAGCATCAAAGGAAGAGGGATTTTTACTCAATGGGCTCTCAGGGTCCAAACCATCATCAGAGGAGTAAAATGGGATCAGGAGGATGTCTCAGTGGTGTGTGAGTATGAGAAGAGCAGCCCACAATGAAGAGGGCTGCAGAAAAGTCACGGTCCTTAGGGAGAGTTCCTGCTAGTGGTTTAGGACACAAGGGGGTTTGCTTATAATGGAAGGAAAGTTCCAGAGAGGTACTAGGATGGAATAGGGATGGGTAGGCTGGGTATCTATTGAGGGGATCCAGGAGGAGAAAAAGATAAGGTCTGCAAAGGATGAAGGGTTGGGGAGGGAGTTTCCCCCACTTTTGTGAGACAGGGTCTTGCTCTGTTGCCCAGGCTAGAATGCAGCGGCCCAAACATGGCTCACTGAAGCCTCAACCTCCAAAGTTCAAGCAATATTCCCATCAATCCTCCCATCTCAGCCTCCTAAGTTACTGGGACTACTGGTGTGCACCACCATGCCAGGCTAATTTTTTATTTTTTGTAGAGACAGGGCCTCGCCATGTTGCCCAAGCTGATTTTGAACTCCTGAGATCAAGCAATCCTCCCGCCTCAGCCTCCCAAAGTGCTGGGATTACAGGTAGGAGCCACCATGCCCAGCCAAGAGTTGCTCTTTTATGGATTCCAAGCTGTACAGGATGAGAGACATGATAGGAATGTCCTCAAATGCCTTGACTGCGGCACAAGCCAGTTTAGTTTTAGAGTCCCTGAAAACCCTAGGGGTGGATTATTTAGCCTCAGAAGAGGCAAGGCTTCCCCACATGCTCAGAATGGTGATGGGAGCTCCCAGGCTACAGAAAGATGATGGAGGTACTAACTTCTCTCATCTGTCATGGGTTTGAAATGCTCTCCCTCATGTAGAATCTCACACAATGCTCATACAGCCTGTTGATTTATGCCATTCAGGGATAATGACCATCAGGCTGTGAGACCTCAACAGCAGTTAATGCCCAAAGTAAGGAAAAGGAGATTTGGGGCCAGGAGACAAAGCTGGGTGTACCCACAATTTTGCTGAGGCTTCACCATAAGCACATTCATCCAAGACATCTCAGCATAGCATACGGGATAAACACAGGGACTGGGTCTGACCTGCATTTAAAACCTGGATCTACCACTTTCCATGAGCAAATTCTTGGCTCTTTGAGGTTCATTTTTCTCATGGGTATAAAATGGGGCTTTCAGGGATAAAGCAATGCATCATTTATAGTTCCTAGCTAATGGTAGGTGTAAAATTAAAGATTTATCTTCTGATTTCTCAAAGAACTAAAAATAGAACTACCATTCAACTTGGCAATTCCATTGCTGGGTAAATACCAAAAGGAAAATAAATCGCTCTACCAAAAAGACACTTGCAGTTGTATGTTCACCGCAGCACTATTCATAATAGCAAACATGTGAAGTCAACCTAAGTGCCCGTCAGTGGTGAATTAGATAAAGAAAATGTGGCACATATACACAATGGAATATTATGCAACCACAGAAAAAAATAAAATCATGTCCTTTGCAGCAACATGGATGCAGCTGGAGGTCATTATCCTAAGTAAATTAATTCAGAAACAGAAAAATGAAATATCATATGTTCTCACTTATAAGTGGGAGCTAAATCTTGGGTACATACGGACATAAAGATGGGAACCATAGACACTGGGGACTCCAAAAGAAGAGGGGGAGGGAGAGAGCAAGGGCTGGAAAACTTCCTATTGGGTACTATGTTTGCTATCTGGCTGATGGGATCAATAGAAGCCTAAATCTCAGCATCACACAATATACCCTTGTAACAAACCTGCACATGTACCTCCTGAATGTAAAATAGAAATGGAAATTGGGCAGGTGTGATGGCTCATGCCTGTAATCCCAGCATTTTGGGAGGCCAAGGTGGGTGGATCACCTGAGGCGGGGAGTTCGAGACCAGCCTGGCCAACATGGTGAAACCCCATCTCTACTAAAAATACAAAAATTAGCCAGGTGTGGTGGCAGGTGCCTGTAGTCCCAGCTATTTGGGAGGCTGAGGTGGAAGAATTGCTTGAACCTGGAGGCAGAGGTTGCAGTAAGCCAAGATTGCGCCACTGTACTCCATCCTGGGCGACAGAGTGAGACTCTGTCTCAAAAAAGAAAAAAAAGGAAATTAAAAAAAATTCTCTCCCCTTGCTATCCAGATACTACTTATTTATGAGGCCCTGAGAAGCTGCCTAAATGTTACCCTGGATTATTCACCAAAGGTCTCTGCCTACCTATAAGGTGGCTTGGGAGGAAGTATCTGCAGCTAATGCCTTCTAAACAAACATTTTCTGCCTTTTGTGTTTCCCGCTCATTGGCCTCGCCCAGGGCATGGGGAGATCTATGTGGGGTTTAATGAATGATTGCACTTTACAGGATTTAGCTCACACTATAAATAGGACCTACATTTCAGTGGTGGGATTTATAAACTGCGGGTGGTAGGCTGCAGGAGGATTGGCATGACTGTAGGATTTGTCTAAAACACCAAGTGAGTGAGTGAGTAAAAATAGCCACCAAGGAACCTGTCTGGCCCAGGACACATTAATCAGTTTGCTGGAGCCTTGTCCGGCATTGCCCCAGGGGCTGGGCAGGAGCTGACTTGAGTGGAGCCTTTTAGGATCAGGAAGTGACCTGGTGCCAGGCGGGGAAATGACATTCCTCAGCAATCAGCTGTCCTGGTCCTGGGTGGGCAAGGAAGTAAGGCGTTTTTCTCCATGGAGGCTATTGGCCCAATACCATCTCTAAAGCCAAAAGCTAAACATGATCAAATATGGCTGGATGTGGAGTGAAGTTCTAAATTTTAAAAAATCTTATGAGAAGAAAATAAAGCTCAGTAATTTCATCCCACAGGTTAGAACCAGGCTCCTGGAGGTGCGCCAAACCCCAGGTCTTATTCTTTCCCCAGTGTGGAGGGACTTTGGGGAGTTGTCATCCCCCCAGGGAGGTCCCAGTTTGGACATGGGAACAGGAGGTGTCTTAGTCCTTTCCTGCTGCTATAACAAAATACCTTAGATAGGATAATTTATAAACAATAGAAATTTATTTTTCATAGTTCTGGAGGCTGGGAAGTCCAAGATCAAGGTGCTGGCAGGCTTGGTGTCTGGTAAGGGAGGGTTGCTCTCTTTGCTCCCAAGATAGTGCCTTGTTACCGCGTCCTCACGTAGCAGAAGGTGGAAGCTGGAGGCAACTCTCTCAAGCCTCTTTTGTAAGGGCATTAATCCCGTTCCATGAGGGTGGAGCCCTTATAATCAGTCACTTCCCAGAAGCCTCCTCCTAATACCATCACCTTGGTGATTAGGTTTTAACCTATGAATTTTGGAGGGACACATACATTCAAATCATTGCAGGTGGTTTGGAGAAAGGTGATACGGAGCC
The DNA here is from genome assembly GCF_000001405.40 of Homo sapiens. Classification (NCBI taxonomy): domain Eukaryota; kingdom Metazoa; phylum Chordata; class Mammalia; order Primates; family Hominidae; genus Homo; species Homo sapiens. Next base: position 4,444,062 of record NC_000020.11, read on the forward strand.
CATCCCTGCCCACACGAGGTGCTCACAGCTATTCCAACCACACTTGGGGCTGTTCATTGAGCCAGGACTGGAAGGAGATGATGGTTTGGACCCTGTGAGCCCAACTTCTGCTGTCCACAGCAGGCAGGAAAAGAGAGACTATTACCAAATCATGGAAGATAGGATATTGGACAAGCAGCCCCAGAGAGATGGGCTGAAACAGGCCACTCAGCAATTCCTTGCTAAGACTTACAGATAGCCACGTACTGGTGGCTGTTCCAGATATCTTCTCTCTTATTCAGCCCATTCAGGGCTATACCACCTTGAAAAAGTCATTCCTCTGGAGCCAGGCAGAGTGGGGCCAAAAGGAGTGGTAACTCTACCAGGAAAACTTTGCATGCATAAGTTGACCAGTAGTCTCCTTGTAAAGGAAATGGAATCCAAGATGGCATGGTTTTGAATGGTGTGGTATGATGAGGGATATTAGTAGATGCAGAAATATCTGGAATACAATGCCTGACTCATCGTTGGCACTCCATGAATGTTGGTTGAATATGCATTGCAATTTGTGTAATGAAGGGCTTTCTATCTTTCTTTTTTTCTCGTTTTCTATTCTTGGTCTGTTCACATGAAATATTTAACTTGGATCTCTAGTCTAAAATTAAAAGCTCAGGTTAGAACAAGTTTGCAGAAATGAATCACATGCACTCAAGCAGTTCTTGCTTAGAATGGTTGACCACAGAAAGAAATCACCACTCATGAACATGATTCAAGGTCACAATAAATTGTTTTTCTTTGTTTCTGTCCCATTGATGATGGCCCTTGTTTCTAGGGAAAGGACTACCCTGGGGTTTCCCACCAACTGTGGCTTTTTATTCCTCCCTAGTCACTCATATTTATGAATCCCAAATTCCAGGCATCACCAAATAATTGTCTTTGTCACTTTATACTGCATGCTGTGGTTTGACTATTTGTCTCTTCCAAAAGTCATGTTGAAATCTAATTGCCATTATAACAGTATTAAGAGGTATTAAGAGACCTTTGAGCGGTGATTAGTCTGCCTTCATGGGTGGAATTAATGCCATTATAAAAGGGGGAGTTTGGTCCCCTTTTGTCGCTTTGCCCTTCTGCCTTCCACCATCTGATGATGCAGCAAGAAGGCCCTTGCAAGATGCCTGTGCCTTGATTGTAACCTCCCCGCCACCAGAACTCTGAAATAATAGATTTCTGTTCCTTACAAATTACCTGGTCTTCAGTGTTCTGTAACAGCAGCACAAAATGGACTGAGATGTTGCACATGGCTTTATAACCTGATGATTTTTCCTGAAATCAAGTGTTTCCAAGAAGTCTTGAACAGGGAGAAATGGTTGTGGGGAGGAGAGAATGAGGCAGTGGCTGGGAGACCCATGTCACACTCAATAGATCATCTCTATTTTCCTTGGTTGTAGGAGTGGGGTCACTGTGAGGGTCTGTTGCAAACCACATTGGACAGCTGGGATGGGTTATTTTTAATGGTGAGAGAGGAAGAACTTCCAAAGATAGAGTTCACGCCCACACTCTGCTGTGCCAGTTTAGACTTGGGGGTGGCTGGCAAAATGGGCCGGCAGTCCTAAGCCAGAACAAACAAGTCTCCAGGGCCAACCCAGGTGAGGGCTTTGGGTGGTGGCAGGTTCCATAATGCACATGGAACGAGCTCCATAGGGTTCTGCGTTCAGTTCCTTCTTTTTCAATGGGATTTACAGCAGGAAGGACACATTTCCTTTCTTATTTAGTCTTTTTTCTACCCAACTCCTGACCTTTCCCTCCCTCCAGTGACCCTGATAACTTTTCCCATCCCTCTCGCCGCTAATGGCAACCACTGGCTTCACAGCACAGGGTGGGGTGGATGAGTGGAATTCATGTTTGGAAGCAGTTACACATAAACAGAGTAGGCAGCCCTTACGGAGTGTGGCTTTAAAATCTAAAAAGTCTGTGCATTCCCCAAACTTGGCCCTGCACAGACTGGCATGCTGCCTGCAATTCCCCCATAAGAATGAAGCATTTCTACAGAAAGCCCGTGTGAACATGCAGACCTGAGACCTGAAGTGGCAGTGCCTTCTCTGGGAGCAGTGGTGAGCTGAGACCTGGGATCAGCCTTGGTTAGTCAAAGGTTTCCTGTGCTGAGTGCTGTGTGCTACAGGTCTGAAGACCCCTGTTCAGGTGTTTTCTGTCCCTCTTCAGCCTGCTTCCCACCCTCTGGAGGGGCTCTAACAAACACATTCACACAGAGGGGAAATGACCCTGAGACCCTCTCCTAGGGGCCTTTGCATCTCAGCAGATGTTCAGGGCATAGGAGATGCTCTCATGCAGGATTTGTAGGACCATCAGAGAGGTGGGGGAAGAATTTTTGGTGCTATTGTTTGGGGAGATCCAGCCAGAGGGACCCTGACTTCTTTGCTTAGGTTTAAAGGCTGTCTCTTTTGGTGTCCCAGGCAGGATGGAACCCTGGAAGGCAAACCTTAGCATAATTCAATCTTGAGTGAGTGAGTGAGTGTGTGTGTTTAATAGATAGAATTTAATTTTTGGAGCAGATTTAGGCTCACAGAAGAATTAAGAGGAGGAAGCAGAGATTGTGTGTATAATAGAGTCCAGAGTCTTTATTGGAGTTCCATTACTTAGGCATGGTGGATTGTCTACATGGCTGATGTCAATTTCTAGTCCCTCAGGAAGTCAATCTCATACTGGGTGACCTAAAACTCCACCCTAAATCACATTTTTTGCCATCTGGCTGGTCTAAGTCTCCCCACCCCAACCCCAGCAAGCAAAGACACTCCTATCAGGTATGACATTCTAAGGGGTTGGAGATCACCTCCAAGAGCCTAGGGTAATGGTCACACCTCCCTTTAGGCAAGATTAAATTCTTTACCACACAATAATAGTCACGTAATGTTTTAAAGCTATAATTTTTATTCACCTGTGAAAAGAGAACAAACACTGGCAGTCTTCAGAGACATCATTGTAGTTAAAGGATACATATTTAAAAAACTTAGCCGCTGATATTGTTATTTTCCTTTATAGAGGAATGAGTCTCGGCTATTAATTGGCAGAGTTGGCATCTAAGTTTATCATCATATTTTAAACCTCAATCTCTGTTTCCACCCCTCCTCCCTCTTAGTGTCACTGTGTCTCTATCTAGGCACTTGCTGGCAGCTGCATGCCCTGTGTCTGTTGTTCTGACAAAGGAAACAGGTTTCACTGTTTGGGACTCAGTGTGTGCCTCCCCTGTATTCACATATTTAAAATTACTCTTCTAAATGAATTATTTAAACAACTCACTGAGCAAAAAAAGAAATCATAATAATATTGAAAAGATGGTTTAAAAACCTGAACTATAACCAAAAAAATCAAATATCAACACTTACAGATGCAGCTAAAGAAGTATAGTAAATGAAGAGTTAATATTTTAAATGCTTATGTTAAGAAAGAAGAAAGGCTAGGACTTAACGAACTTAGCATGAACTTAAGAAGTTATTTTAAAAAGAAAAATAAATGCAAAGAAGTAGAAGAAATGAAACATCAAGTTAAAAATAAAAATCCAAAATCTAGTAAATGTTTTATAATTTAGGGCATTAATAAAACTAAAAGTTGGTTCTTTGAAAATATTAATAGGCAAATATCTGGCTAGATCAATCAATAAAAATGCAAAAACCAAATAAAGTAATATTAGAAAGAAAAGAGGAAAAACTACAACAGATGTAAAAAAACTAAAAACATAGGAAGAGAGTATAAGGAATAACTTTTTAAATCATAAATTAGAAAATAGATATGAAATGGATAAATTCTTTTAAAAATACCACTTAATAAAATGGACCTGAGAGGAAATAGATAAGTATTTTATAACTACACCTTGAAGAAACTGAATTAGTAGTTTAAAATTTTTCTTCAAAAATATACTAGACTCTGATGGTTTCAAAGTCAAATTCTATCAAGCATTTAAGTAATGGATAATTTCAAACATATGCAAACTATTTCAGATCATAGGGAAATAAAGAATATTTTCCAATGAATTTTATGACATGGGTGTAACTTTGATACCCATAGCAGGCAAGACATAAGGAAAGAAAAATTATTGACTAATCTCACTTGTGAACTTATTTGCAAGGTATTAAAAAATTACCAAGTTCAACTCAAGAAAATATTATCATGACCAAGTTGGTTTGATCCCAGGAATACAAGAAAGTTTAACATTAGAAAAGCCAATAACAGATTAAAGGATAAAGACCAAGTGATGATCTCGATACATGCAGGAAAGGTAACTGATAAAATTACATATCTATTCATGATTAAAAGCTCTCAGAAAACTAGAAATAGAGAAAACTTCCTTAACCTGACATAAAGCATCTATAAACTGGCAAAATAAGTATGTCATCTCTCTCCCTTTCTGTTCATCATTGTTCTGGGAGTCTTAGCTAGTGAAGTAACCCAAGAAAAAGAAATACAAAGTATAAAACTAAAATGGAAGACACAGGACATTTTATACATTGTATATAACATTGTTTATGTGGGAAAACTTTACCAAGAGATATAAAAGAAAAGTTTGATAAATTAGGGGGATATAAAATGTTCTAGTATGGGAGGATAATATTGTAAGGACTCAAATTCTACCCAAATTAATCTCTAACATCTGTTTAATAATTTTTCTTTCTTGAGACTTCCATAGAATTACCTAAAGGTCTTTTAGAAGAACATCAAGAAAGAATAGCCAAGAAAAAAAGTTAAGAATTCTAAAGATTTCATTTATCCTGCAAATTAAGAAAAATTATAAAAACCTTGTAATTTAAATACTTTGTTCCTGGAATAATAGACAGAAATAGCAAGGTAGCCAAATAAAATGATTAAATGAGCTAATCAAAAGCATAAAAGGAGACATTCACAGTTGTGAGGGAGAATACAGTTTGGGGACCTGGGTTTATTTGGAAATGATATTAAAGTTTTACCTCATAAAATATGTTATTATGTGAAAAAAAATTAAAAAATAATTTGTAGAGTATAATCTCATTTTTATAAAAATAGTTAAAATTAAATTTGTACACATACAATCACAGAGACTCTAAGAATAAAAGAAAATAGGTTGGGGTGCAGTGGCTAATGCCTATAATCCCAGCACTTTGGGAGGCCTAGGAGGGTGAATCACTTGAGGCCAGGAGTTTGAGACTAGCCTGGCCAACATGCTGAAGCCTCGTTTCTACTAAAATTACAAAAATTAGCCAGGTGTGGTGGCGGGCACCTGTAGTCCCAGCTACTCTGGAGGCTGAGGTGGGATAATTGCTTGAACCCAGGAGGTGGAGGTTGCAGTGAGCCAAGATTGCACCACTGCACTCCAGCCTGGGCAACAGAGCAAGACTCCTCAAAAAAAAAAAAAAAAAAAAAAGCAAATAGTTAATGCTGTTATCTCTGAATAGTGGCCATAGGTTATTTTTATTTTCTACTCTTTGTTTACAACTTTCCAATTTTTTTAGAAAATCTTGATTTTTAAAAACTTACCAAAAATACCAATTTGAGGTATGGCCTTGTCTCTGTCATGTTTTGGGCATGGTTTAGACAGAGTTGCCTTGTCTGAATATTGGCTGATTAAAAAACTTGCCTTCCTGGTTAGTTATTTCCAGGTAATGTAAATGTAAGTACTTCTAGCATATACACTGAGAGATTTTTAAAAACATTCCAAATATCTGGAATTCACTTTTTCATTTGTATCATAAAGACATTAAATATGAAATTGTGGTCCCCAAATTTATTTAAATACTCTTCTAAAAATACTTGCACTACATTATTTTAAACAGTTAACAACAAAACCATCAATGGATTTTCATGCAAAACAACAATCAGTTATGCTTCAGTTATATAGAAATGTATCTATTCAAAATAGCCTATTCCCCAACCGTGTCGGACCAACCAGGATTACCACCTGCGGTTACACACACGCTTTCTTTCCACCACTTTTTCTAAATTGCTGCATGGCTTTACAAAGTTATTTTTTCAAGCTGAAATTTTCCATTCTTGGTCCTCTACCAAAGGTGATTTCACTTGGAAAAGATTGAAAAAATGTATAGCCCAAAGTGTTCAGTCATTTTTGCAGTTCTGTAAGGCCGAAGAAAAATACTCTCTCTATTTGAAAACCAATTTAAAAGGCTTTTCTCTTACGCAACAGTAACTCTAAGTGGCTTGTCTGGGGAGATTTAATAGTTGCAACCCACCAGTACCCAAACAGCAGTTTTATCTTTAGAAATAGCCTGTTGTTGACCTCAATGCTCTGCTTTCTTTATTCCTTCCTTTTTGCAGTTTTTCTAAAAGAGAAAGTATAGTGTAGTGAGCAGTGCTAGAAGCTGGAGTTAGAAGCTGCTTCTGAGTTGGAGTGTTAAAATGCACTATCTGACCTTGCACATACCACGCGAAGTCTGGTGTGTGTTTTGCAGAAGGAAAATGGTTCTTACCCCTGCTGGCCATGGTGAGCATAATAGGAGACACATATAAGAAAGCTCACTGGATCTGGCCAAGCTCTGTGAAATGAAAGCGAGTCACACTGTGAGGCCAACCACCTGAAAGGTGTCCCGGCATCCGTCTAATGGCTGGCTTAGGCTGAAAACCCTGTGTAAGCAGCATTTGCCTTGTATTATGAAAAACAATAAAGATAAACCAGTAAAATAAACTCCTCAGGAACAGAGTACAGTGAGCATTACATTGGAGGTTACTCTTAATGGGTGGTTCAACTTTATTTGACTGAACCTCACTTAGATGGTGTGACAGTCCCCAGGCTGTTGTATATAGTCACACAGGTTGTGCACTGCAAAATTCTAGGGGGTCTGCCTTCCCGATCCCATTTGCCAGTGGAGAAGAGCACTGACTGAGAATCGGAGAGGGAAGAAAACGCAGTTGCAATATGAATGTATACAAAATTTTACATTAGAAAATGATGCTCTAGACCCTTAAAAATAACACAGTAATTTTATTAGACATACCTTGGGATTTGATTGCAAGTTATTCTAATAAGACAAGTTCAAGGGAAGCACAGCTAATAAAGTGATACTGAGCAAGTAAATTCAGAGGGAGTTACATAGATATCTGCTTTAACAATAAGAAAATGGATATCTTGTTACTCCAAATGCATATGTATCTTAAGGCCTGATAGCTGACAACAGTGGGCCCAAACCACTTGTGATGAAAATATGTACCTGTCACTACCTACGGTAGGGTTAAGCAAACAGATAGATAATTAAATAAAACCAAGAAAAACGTGAAACTATAAGGCAAGAAGTGCCTTAATTTGAAACTCTAACCAACTCAAGGCAATAATAATAACCAGACATTTACATATTGCCTACTGGGTGCTGGGCACTAGTCTCTACATTTTGCAGATATTAACATCTTTAGGCCCTACAATACTCTATGAGGTGGGTATTATTTTCTCTGTTTTACAGGTGAAGACGCTAAGACACAGAGAGGTTAAACAGTAGCATTGCTGGGTTTCTTCCATGGCCACCCAGTAGTATTAATATCATGCCCTTTGCCCTGTAACTTTGTAGTCCCCACCCATTCTGAATATTGGGCTGGTCTCATGACTTGCTTTGTTTAATGGAATACAGCAGAAGTGAGAACAAGCCTGGGCTAGTCTACTGGAAGATGAAGGAGGTGAAGGAGAGCCAAGAGGCAGCCAAGCCCACTGAAGCTGAGCCACTCAATTCTTAATCACCCCCAGCACTGAGGATGCAGAGAACAGAGTGCCCCTGATGCCTACGTGGGAGGAACTCTGCAATCACAAAGTGTGAGCCATATTTCAGAGAACACCAAATCTGAATCCTCAGAACAACCTAGTCACACATTAGAATACTAGGAGGCCAAGTACTGGTCATTAGCCCTTATTCATACATTAAAATGTTTAGAATTATGCATCAGTTGCTTATAAGAACTGGGGCCAGTTCTACAGAAAGTGCTGGAAACTTGGTGACTGGGTGTCTTTGTAATTTTTATCCAGTAGGTAAATGGATTGAAGCAGTTTCAGAGAGTTGTCATTGGTAAAGAAACAATGGTTACTCCTATCAGTGAGAAAAGCAAAAATAAAAAGAGAGTCTTTATTTTGGTGGTTGAGGTATGGCTTTGTCTCTGTCGAGTTTTAGGCGTGGTCACAGAGTAGCCTTTTCTGATTATTGCTTATATTCTGTGAAAGTTATTTATGTTCAGTTGGGAACATTTTGCTTCAGCCTAGTTGTTAGCTGTTGGCTGCCAGCTGTTGGAACCATTTTTACCTTCTCACAATCACTTTGTGACCCATAGGGAGGTCTCTGATAAAACCAGGAAGTGGCCTGAGAGCAGTGCATTCTGGGGTTGATTGTATGCAGGTATTGCCTCAGTGGTCCAGAGAACCAGGTAGGAGGATGAATAACTGTGGGAGCAAAAGGGAGAGGTTACTGGGAATGGGGAATTTGATCAGGAGCCTACACAGCAACCTTACCCTTGGCTATGGTTCTGAGAGGTGGCCTCAAATGCCAAAGAAGTGAGTGGTAGGAAAGATGTAGACTACCTGTGGAGAGAAAGGGAGTCAAGCCGGCCAGGGAAGAGGGAAATGGGACCTATGGGAAAAGTTGAGCAAAACTCCAAAAGGAAGTGGTATGTCCAGAAGATGCAGGGGACAGGCCTGCTCTCAAAGTGGTCACCAGCAGTATCCTGAGGACATTTTTCAGAAACCTTGTGGCATTCCCAGCAATGTGCATAAAAGCAGGGCTTGTACTACATTGGTGCAAAAGTAATTGTGGTTTTTGCCATTATGCACCAACCAAATACATATCGGGAACAAAAATCACAAGATTATAGGCAATTATTCAAAGACACCTGGATGAGAAAAGTAGACATGTACAAGATTGGAAAGGATGTAAAGAAAAGAGATAACTCCACAAATGCTGAACTTAAAATCACATTTGAAGATAGTAAAGCACTCACTTGTTGAGGTAGGAACATGCCTAAGTGACATACTATGCAAATCTGAGTATGCAGGGAAAAGACAGTGAGATGAAAATGGTGAGAGAGAATATGATAGAAATAGAGAATGGAGAATAGAAAACCCAAACACCAAAAATCCTCAAGGGAAGATCAAAACAAATGCAGGTGAAATCAGTGCCTCACGTTTTCTATTATACTGTTTCCGTCATTTTGATTTTTCTGAAATTAAGATGCATCTTATGTTTTAAATTTTGCCTGTCATTCCCTCCTGCCCAAAAGTAGTCAGTGATGTACTTTTTCAATTAATTTTGTATTAGAACAAAGAAAATACGTTAAGAGAAGAAAATTCCCTTAGAGAAAGATTCAAGTTACGCAGATTGAAAGACTCACTTGGGTTCTAAGGCATGTTAATGGAAAATGCCCTAAATTAAGGACTTCTTGGCAAAAACTTTTAACTCTTGGAGAAAAAAATTCTACAAGTTGCCAGGCCTAAATATCAGATTACACAAAAAAAGAATAAATGCTGGGCTGTCTTTTGACTGCTCTCCAACACCAAGGGTTGAAAGTTCACAGAGGTTAAAAGTTGTGGCCCAGGAATTTTTCACTCAGCCAAGTTGTTCATGTTTAATAGCTATAAAAAGACATTGCCAGAACATACTAGGTGTATCAGTCAGAGTTCTCCAGAGAAACAGAACCAATAGAATATATATATAAACAGAAACAATAGAATATATATATATTATAAGTATATATATTCTATTAGGAACAATAGAATATATATATACTATTATATATAATAGAAACTACAATATATTATAATAGATCTTTTATATATAATAAAAATTTATGTCTCTCAGAATATATTCTATTATATGTAATAGAAACTACTATATATTATAATATATAATATATATTTTATATAATAGAAATCTATATATTTATATTTACATATTCATATTACATAATATATTTCTATATATAATAGAAATATGTATATAATCTCTCTATATATACTATATCAAAGTTTCTATGCAGCTAAATATATATGCCTGTGTGTGTGTATATATGTATGTGTGTATATATATATAGAGAGAAAGAGATTTATTTTAACGAATTAGTAATTTAGAAGGAAAAACAGATAAGTTAACAACATAAAATTGAATGAAACTAGAGCTACATGAAAGAACATGTAGCCTCCTAAATTCCTCCTAAATTGTTTATTTTAAGGAATTGTCTCATGTGATCATGAGGCTGGCAAGTCTGAAATCTGCCTGCAATCTAGAAACTCAGACCGGGTTCCTGTTGCTGATGGAGGCCGACTTCCTTTTTCTCAGGGAAACCTCAGTTTTTGCTCTTAATGGCTTCAACTGATTGGATGAGCCCCACCCACATTATGGAAGGCAATCTGCTTTACTTAAAATCAACTAATTGTAAATAATCACATCTACAAAATGCCTTTACATCTAGACTGGTGTTCGATGAAACAATGAGGCACCATAGCCTAGCCAAATGGACACATAAATTTGTCCATCACATAAGGATTCACAAAATATGCTGGCATTTAAAAAAAACAAATTTCTTGGTTGGGCGTGGTGGCTCATGCCTGTAATCCCACCTACTTGGGAGGCTGAGGTAGGAGAACTGCTTGAACCTGGGAGGTGGAGGTTGCAGTGAGGCGAGATCACATCATTGCACTCTAGCCTGGGTGACAAGAGTGAAACTCTGTCTCAAAAAAAAAAAAAAAAAAAAAATTCTTGAAGACATTTCCTGAATACAAAATATAAAACTAAGAAAACAATGGTTAAAAAAATGACTATTGGTGACACCGAAACCAATTAAAGTAAAAATGTGGAGACTGTACATCTGTTTTTAAAATTAAATGAAAAAGCCAAAAATACTCTTGAAATGTAAGTACTCTAATGTTAAAAATAGTATAGTAACTATAATTTATATATAGAACCCCAGATTATATTAACAAAGAAAATAGAGGAAAAAGAAAATGAAGGTTTTATCTAAAGATGTGGGAATAAAAAAGTACTAATTTATGTGCTTGACTCTGAAAGTTGTTGGGAAAACATAATTTAAACAATGATTTCAAAATAGTAAATTAACAACTAGTAGAATTTTAAAAATTATATATTATCTTCCAAAACACTGAAGAAAGTAGACTCTTACTCTACTAGCTTGTGGAAACCCAGCCAGGTAACTATCATTTGAGTCCTTTGTCCCTGCATCAGTAATTCACACCTGGTAATATGTAACACTTGGTTCTTAGCCCCTGGCTGTGCATTAGAATCACCTAGGGTGCTTGTAAACATCCTGATTCCCAGGTGATGTCCCAGACCAGTTGCATCAGAATCTCTTGGGATGTGGCCCAGTCACCAGTTGTTTCTAGAGCTCCTCTGATGATTCCAAATTTGTGCAGCCAAGTTTGAGAACCACTGGCCAAGGCCTTTGCCCTTTCTCATGTTTCTTTGGGAAGGGCTGTCTACTTTAGCATAAAATGTACATAGTTACCTGCCCCTCCACCTTTCCTCTGAGTCACCTTTCCAGTGATCCTTGGTTATCTTGGTTACAATCTACAGCTCCTTACTCACAGCATGGCCCAAGGACCCAGCAGCCTCAAAATCTCTTGCGAGCTTCTTAGGAATGCACCTGTTCCATGGCTGTCTTCCTCAGTGGCCTTCTTGCCTCCTAATCTTCCTTCTCAAAACTTCTAATAGAATGATCTTTGCAAAACGCAAATCCAATCATGACATAACTTCCTCAATGAATAATCAGAAACTCCATGTGAAACCACCTTTGACAGTGAAAGAGATCAGACCTAACCAACTCCATCTTCCTTCTTACCTTTAAGCTGTCCTTGTTCATTCCTGAGCATAGACCAAACTAACTTTGGGAAGGAATTTAGTTTATGGTGTGACTGAAACAAAGTTGATAATAACCCTTTCCCAAAAAGACCCCCTTCTTGCCTGGGGACCAATCTGCCTTTGTAGGACTAACAAAATAGCTACAAGATTAGAAATTGCAGCTTAGGAGTCATGAAGCCTCTGGCTGCAAGAGTTTGAACCTCCCCAAATTGCTCCTGGGGATAACATCGCTATTGTAAAACATAAGATCAGTGCTTGAGATATTTTGTAGACCCTGTACTTGATGGATCAGCTGACACCACCAATACCAGTAATCTGGCTCAACCGGTTCTGCGATCCCACCCAGGAACAGAAGGCAGCAAGAAAACCTCACTTTGACCACTATGATTCCATCTCAAACCTGACCAATCAGCACTCCCCACTTCCCAAGCCCCTACCCATCAATTTATCTTTAAAAACTCTGATTCTCGAGTGCTCAGGGAGACTGATTTGAGTAGTAATATAACTCCAGTCTCCCTCACAGCTGGCTCTGCATGAATTACTCTTTCTCCATTGCAATTCCCCTGTCTTGATAAGTTGGCTTTGTCTAGGCAGCGGACAAGGTGAACCCTTTCGGCTGTTACACATGTTTCCTCTGTTGTAAAATCTAAGGTCCTGAAAATTAAATTCAGGGTTCTCTAAGGATTTAGCCTCTTTATCTTGTCCCAAATTTTCTTCTCAGCTATATTTCCCACTTTCCTAACTCCAAATACATCAGGCCATTAGCCATTCACCCAATGGGATAGGCCTTTTTACTCTTCAGTTCTTGGGCTAATGTTCTCTTCAGCTGTGAATGCCTCGTCCCCCATTTCCCATTAATTCTTAGTCTTTTCTTGGAGTTCAACACAGATGCCACCTCTGTGGGGAAGCCTTCCCCAATCTCCCAGTCAAAAGGGATATCACATGCAAATCAAAATCACAATGAGATTCCATCTCACACCAGTCAGAATGGCTATTATTAAAAAAGTCAAAAAACAGATGCTGGGGAGGTTGTGAAGAAAAGGAAACACTTATACACTGTTGCTGGGAGTGTAAATTAGTTCAACCATTGTGTAAGACAGTGTGGTGATTCCTCAAAGATCTAAAGACAGAAATACCATTCCACCCAGCAATCCCATTACTGGGTATATACCCCAAAGAATATAAATTTTTCTATTATAAAGACACGTGCATGGGCATGTTCATTACAGCACTATTCAAAATAGTAAAGACATTGAATCAACCCAAATGCCCAACGGTAGACTGGATAAAGAAAATGTGGTACATATCAGCCATGGAATACTATGCAGCCATAAAAAAGAATAAGATCATGTTCTTTGCAGGTACATGGATGGAGGTGGAGGCCATTATCCTTAGCAAATTAACACAGGAAGAAAACCAAATACTGCGTGTTCTCACTTGTAAGTGGGAGCTAAATGACGAGAACACATGGACACATAGAGGGGAACAACATACACTAGGGCCTATCAGAAGGTGGAGGGTAGGAGGAGGGAGAGGATCAGGAAAAATAATGGGTACTAGGCTTAATACCTGGTGATGCAATAATCTGTACAACAAACCCCCATGACACAAATGTAACCTATGTAACAAACCTGCACATGTACCCTTGAACTTAAAATTCAAACAACTATAAAAAAGGGGTTTCACTTTGTTCTTTCATGTAGCCCTGGTTTCATTCAATTTTATGTTGTTAACTTGTCTGTTTTTCCTCCTCAACTGATAATTCTTTGAGGGGAGGAACTATGCCCTTTTGTTCCCATTCCCTAATCAGCCAGCCAGTGCTTGTAGAACAAATGTCATGGGTCACACTCTCAATGCCTGTAGGTGAATTCTTTTAGCAGGATCAACTCTCCCCACATTCCATGGGTACTGCAGGGGGCAGGCCCAGCCCACACTATTTCAGCATAAGTGAGTATTTATTGCAAAGACTCTCCTAACCTTGGCCTATTAAGTAACTCCTTGATATTTTAGGGAATTTCTGTGCTCTCACATCATCTTCATCTTTCATTTCGCACTGGTGGAGTGCCTGCCCTCTCCTAACACTTTCTTCATTTTACCTTCATTGACGCTTCCTTTTTGGGGGACTGGTTTGTTCCAGGTGAACTCAAAGAATGAGTCAACTTTACTAGGACAGTGACTCACCTTCTTTTAAATCTGAGGACAATATTGGAAGCTCAAACAAAGTGTCTAAACAATTTCCTAGGAGCATTTGCTTGAGGAGGGGGTGTGTAATTTCAGCATCAACTGAAGAAAACATCTGAGCTTTTTGACAGCTTCTAAAGAGAATAAGACTCTCTGCCTGCCTGGAGATGCACTCAAAAGACAAGGCATTTAACAGCAAATCAAGGCTGTCCTGCCCAGGAATCATCCTAATCATACAGTCACAGATTCTTGCAAGGGTCACTGCAGCCCAGGTCCCTGACAGGCCAGCACATAACCCAAGCAGTCCAGCTGTGACTGCCAGGTGTCAAGTGCCTGTACTGAACACATTGAAAGGAGATAAACAGAGGTGACTTGGGAAGTGGCAAAGCCCTAGATGAAAGCAATCTATGAGGACAATATATTTTTCCAAATGTTTTTGCCTCTCTGCATAATCCAATCCAAATATTCTACTCCTTTCTGTTCTCTCCTCCCTGTAGGTATGTTGTTTACTATTGTGGTTTAGTAATGTTTTTTATTTGTCCAGAGACCCCAGGCCAATTTCCCAAGCACTAGAAGCCAGATTCTACATTCACCCTCTTGATCAAGTCCCTCCTCTGTGCTGTACCATGGGAATAAACCAAAAGGGAAGAAGATATGTGATACCAGAATAGAGAATACAACCCAGAAGAAAGGCAAAGGAAATTTGAATATGACAATAAAAAGAAATCTTAGGGTTACAGCTTCTCATCAGGCCTAACAGGCCACCAACTCCGAGGAGAGTAGAATGGAGGTTCCCAGAAAGCATGTCTCTAAGAAAAAAGTAGAAACAACAGTTTACATGATGTGATTGGCCTTGTAGAAAATCACACTGAGAGGAAGTTGTGGGGAGAGTTAGCAAGAGTAAAAAGAAGTCTAAGCAAATCAAAAGCAAGGCAATTATTAACTTTAGGAAAAACAAAAAGTAAGAAAAGAGACATCATTGTAGTATGTTACAATACTCAGCTGTGAATTATATTTGTATAAGCATAACACTGTAAACACAGAATAAAATTTAGCCCAAATAGTGATATTAAGAGAATGAAGGATGGGAAGCAGAGGGAACAGCATTGAAATTATTGCAGTGTGATTTTAATTTAGATGTCTTATATTACAAGTAAAGTGATTCCAAAGTAAACCTGAAAAACTAGTTCAGACCATGATGGGAAGAGGGGGTTGGACATACCTTGTTGTACTCACCTCCCTTTGGAATTCAGGCACAACTGACCAGCATTAACATTTAAAATAGAGATCCTAAGACTGATAAAAACAGACTTTTTGTGGCAATGAGATACCAAATGCCAACTAGCATAACATCACATGACACATAGCAGGCCTTGAAAGAAATTGAAGTATTTTACCTCCAAATATATTTATTTGATATATTTGAAATGGCCCTGTAAAGATATCTCTTATGGGGAAAGTCTACATTTTGTAGAGAATCCCATTCCCTTTCCAGGTATTTTCCTGATTTAGGAGAGATTTAACTCCTAAGAGTTTGGCACCTTTTAAGGTCTGATAAGAGACATGTACCATCTATTCTCTCTGACACCTGCTACCTGGAGGCTTATCTATATAACAAGAACCCTTGGCTTCCACAGCCCCTATTATCTTAACCCTAAGCATTTCTTTCTACTAATTTGAATACTTCAGGCAAAACCTGACTCTCTCAACCAGTTGCCAATCAAGAAATCTTTGAATTCACCTATGACCTAGAAGCCCCTCAAAGCTTTGAAATGTTCCACCTTTTCATGCTGAACCAATGTAAATCTTATGCGTGTGGATTTATGTATTTGCCTGTAACTTCTGTCTCCCTAAAATGCAAAAAATCAAGTTGTAACCAAACCACCAAGGCCAAATGTTCTCAAGATGTTCTGAGATGAAGTCACAGATCACGGTCCTCACATTTGGCTTGGAATAAGCCTCTTTAAATATTTTACAGAGTTTGACCCTTTTTTGTAGACATTGAGCATCTTTTCATATTTTAATAGGCCACCTTTTATTTCTTAATCTGTAAATTGTCTTCATTTTTTGAAATCAAATTTTTATTGGCTTGTTGCATTATTCTTTCTTAATTTCCAGTAGCTTTTTCTATATTAAGATTAGGCATTTCTCTATGAGTTGCAATTTGGGGAGCATTTTTTCATTTGTCTTTTGACTTTTTATGTGGTATTTTG